>NC_000006.12:19453939-19605454 GCF_000001405.40 Homo sapiens | reverse complement strand
TTGAAGGTATTGGCAACCTTCTTATTCTTTCCTCACATTCCTCAGGAATTCCTCTACTCTTCTAATTGCTGATTTGTTCATCCCAAATCAGGCCACATTCTCCTTCAGCCCTGAGAAATACTCAGCCTTTATTTCCGATTCATTTGAATCATAGTATTTAAAAACTCACCTAAACACCTTTCTCTTTCAAATGGCCAGATTCTAGGCCCTTAGACCCAGCACAGACCATTTAACTTACCCAGGAGCTAAGGCGGTTCCAGTCTTGACATATAATACCTGAAAACTCATCCTCCAAGTATGCACAAGAAGCTTTGTCTAAAAGCAGCAGAAGATAACAAATTTGAGTTTTCATATACTATTGCAACAAATGCCCAACACCTGCCAAAAGACAAAATTAGAAGTTTAACTTAAAGATCGAATTGGCTTTTATTTGACATCCTAGATCTGGACAGCATTTCATATAAAATAGAATATGTGTTCTGCAGGGTATGACAGAAGAGTTGGGTTTTGTAAGATGGGAACAAGGAAACAACACACTAGAAAAAAGTGGATTGGTTAACATCTCATTACTTCAGTTTACCTATCTTATAAGGGTTAAAGAAGAAGGGACTTCCCTATTACATTGACTCAGATTGACTGGGCCCATTCCAATTGGTGTTTGTGAGCATCCTGTTTTCAGGAAAAAAACTGGCCTGTTTGGTGATCTACCCGCTTTCTTAAAGTTTCAATTTGATTATGTGGCACGTAGCACACGTGACTCCGTTTTGATTTGGTCTAGTCTGTAGGGGTCTAATGCAGGAGCTCAGCCCAAAACAATGGCTTCCCATAAAATTTGTTTAACATGCTTCAACTTATTACACAGAAGTAAAACATAACTGGGATGATATTATAAATACAAGTTTGTAACTCTATTTTTTCTTTTTTAGCTAAAATTGTGACTATTTTCCCAGGAAACTTTTTCCTCTAATTAGCATTGGTTAAAATAAGTGGGCAGGGTGTTAGCTGGTATATGTCCAACTGGCTTGTGTTCTTCACTTAGGCTATCTCAAATGATTTATAAAGAGAGAACATAAATCCCTTCCGTGAAGCACCCAAGTCTTACTAGACAACCAGGAAAAGGCCAGGTTTTCTGTCTCTGAGCTGTGCAGGAATCAATTTAGAATCTTCACCTTGAGCTTTGCTTAACCATAGGTGTAGTGTTGGATTATTCTACTTATTCGCAAACAAAAGAAGTTGTACCAAAGTAGTCTGCATTTGTTTTTCCTTTTTCCCACTCTGCAGTGGATTAAAGATGATTGCATATTCTTGATCACACCCCTTTGACAATGAAACTTATTTTCTCAACCCCTGAATCTCACTGGTGCTGTGACAGCTCAACCAATAAAATATGGCTAAGTGATACTGTGGCAGTTCTGAGCCTAGCTTTTATGAAGATCAGCAACTTCCATTTCTTCTCCCTTAGAATGCTTGCTCTTGGTCCACCCTCTTGGAACACAGCCCCATGGCTGTGAGATGCTCATGTCTCCCAGGGAGAAGCGTCCTGCAAGATTTCTAGCAGGCTGCCAATCTAAGCTCTCAGCCAACAGCCAGCATCAATTGCCAGCAATGGGAGGGAGTCATCTTGGTGGTTCCAGATCAACTGAGTGCTTGAATAACTGCAAATCAGCCAATATCAGAACTGCCTAGTCAATGTGCAGAATCTCAAATGATAATAAAACATTTGTTATGTTAACCCAATAGCTTTTGGAGTAGTTTGTTAGAAATTAATTTGTTTATTTGGTAAGGGAAATATGTGCTTTTGGTTTCTATTACTATAGGACGATGGATGTAGTTAATTATCTTTAACCTCACAGCAGTTCCATTATTGGTTTCAATATAGTGGGGCTATCTTCTTAACAAAGACTAGTTCAGCTCTAAATATATGTATTTTGGGAACTTACTGTGTACCAGGCATAGTGTTAAGTTTTGGGGATAAGCAAGACAAAGTCCAAGCCAGCAAGAGGCAGGGAGTTGAACAGGGAAAATGTATGTAAGTGAATAATTATGACCAGATCTATTACAGAGAAGATTTTTATTTCACAAATATTTGAGCATCTATTACATGCCTGGTATCATGCAAGGCACTGGGAACAGATAAAAATAAAATTCTTGTTCTGGAGTAATTTATCAACTAGTTGAGGAGACAGATTAAAAATAGATATTGCTAATATAATGTGGCTCGTGTTAGAACTGAAGCATAAAGTTGTTGGTAATTCAGTGATTATGTGTAAATTACCTAGCATAGATTGTTGTATGAAAGATAGTAAAAGCATTTCACATTCAATCCTCTTCCCTTGATGGTTGGCCAGGCTGCATATTCCAAAGATGGCTTTGACAATAACTTCCAACCCACATACTCTTTGACAATGTGACTTTGCAACTCTATTATCAAGAGGAAGAGTCTCATTTCACCCCCTTTCAAACTGGGCTGCCTTTCAGAATTCGCTTGTAACTAGTGGAATTTGGTGAAAGTGATACTGTATACCTTCTGAGGCTGGGCAGGAAAAAAACCAGGTAGTGTCAGCCTTGGTCTTCTAGAAGACTCATTTTCCAGATGCTCCATCTCAGAAGGCTTTTTCTGGAGCTCAGCTACCATGCTGTGAGGAACTCAAGCCACGTGGAGAGACTGTGTGCAGGCATGCTGACTGACAGTCCAAGCTGGGCTCAGCCTTTGAGTTATCCCAGCTCAGGCACTTGCTAGAATAAACCTCCTAAAATAAAAGACTGTGAGTGAAGAAGCTTCCAGGTGATACCAGCCCCTGACTGTTGAGTCACCCTCAACCCACTGAAGCCTTCCAAGCTGAGGCCCCAGATGTCCTGGAGCACAAATAAGCCCTCCCCATTGTACTCTGTTTAAAATCCCAACCCACAGACCCTGTGAGCATAATGGTTGCTGTTTTATGTCACTGAGTTTGGAGTGGTTTGTTGCACAGCAATAGATAATTAGAACAGATGGATTTCAAGAGAGAACTGCTTTACAATGAATCATATTATTTTTGAATACTTTCTACGCTGAGGCTCCAATATTCCTGCATGCAGGTCTTTCAGTTAACTTGGAAACTGAGAAAAAAATTACTCTTTAATTAATTTCTGAATTCATATCACAGGGTTTTGGGAGCTTATCCCTGACTAAAATACTTTTCCATCATGTGTAAAATTATGGGTCTACTTGCTTGAGGAATATTTCATTTCTTCAGATAGGAACTAGTTCTCTTTATCTTCAGATTTAGTGGAAATGTAAATGTTGGAAAACTCATTTATTTGATATTCATATAAATTTGTGAGACACAATATTTTTGTAAATGATAAGTGGGAGAGTATACCTTGGTATATGTGAAGACACTGGCTACCTCAAATGTAATGTGTTTTATGGCTTTTATCACTAATTATCATTTATAGGAAGAATTTGTTTATATGAAGAGGCGTTGAGGAAAGATGAGATATTAAACTGTAAAGTTCTCTTCCATTGTAGTCATTAGAACTACCACTTATGAACAATTAAACCATGTACAGTTTCCAGAATGGCAACCTGAAAATTGTCTAAGGAAGATATTCATTTTAATTATGTAAATTGAAAGAGGCACTTTTTTTTGCTATTTTTCTATCTTACAGTAATTGAGAAATCATTAAAAATTGGAATACACTTCCATTAGATTTACAGGGGGAGAAAAGAGACTGTGTTAATATCCAAAACATTTTCTTTCTTAGACCATTGTCTTGACAGATGAGATAATTAAATCTGAGTCTCTGTAGTGGTAAAATAGGTGACATAGAAGGAAAACAAGGAAGTGCAATATATGGTTAATTAACAGATGTCAATTATATCTTAGAATTGAATGTGTCCTCAGAAAGCGAGGGGACTAGTTAGAAGAGGCAGAGTTGGAGACTGATGAGAAACCATGCCTGTAAGCTTTCAGGTGCACCCTCTTAATAGCCAGATACTGCTGGGCCTGGACAGGGACAAAACCCAGAAAACCTGCTGGGTACATTGCACACTGGAAATCCAAGATTCTGACAGTGAAAGCCTATTGTCTGTAGAGAAAGCATGCTTCTTAATTTCCCATTTTCCAATTCTTTGCAAACTTCCTAGAATAAAAGGACTTGGTGGACAAGAGGGAAGCACAAAGTCTAGGAAATCTTTCAGGTCTCAGACTTCATAGCATCATTCTTATTGTTTTCTGTCCCAATATGCAGATTTCCCTGTCATTTTCTTTTAGACTCTTCTGCTTGACAAGTATGCATTTTTGTAAGAACCTCTCAGATTCTACCTGAATTGCCTACTAACATTTTTTTCCCCATAGAGACAGGTCACACTCTGTCACCCAGGCTGGAGTGCAGTGGTGCGATCATAGCTCACTGCAATCTCGAACTCCTGGGCTGCAGCAATCCACCTGCCTCAGCCTTCTGAGTAGCTAGGACTACAGACACTCACCACCATATCCTGACAATTTTTATAATTTTTTGTAGAGACGGGGTGTCATCCTGTTGCTCAGGCTGGTCTCAAACTCCTGGCCCTAAGTGATCCTCCTGCCTCAGCCTCTCAAAGTGCTGGGATTACGGGTGTGAACCTAATCGCAGAGGTAAGAGCACACTGCAATGTAAAGTTAGTTCCATGATTGTTTCCTCTCACCTGTTCAGGTGGTTCATTGCTGAACTGCCTCAGCTCCTTCTAAATGAAGAGATAAACGGAGGGTGTTGCCTGAGGCAAGGAAAGTAAATCAATTTAGAATTAATTCATGCCAAAAGTGAGTAGGAATAGGTTTATACTTTTCTATGTATCTATTCTTTTGAGATATACACATATATTAAAAGTAATTCAAAAATTAAATATCCTCAGGATTTTTTCTAACAAATCAAAGGAGGTTTTCATTTAATGTGGAATTTAGATTATTTTTGAGTAATTAATACACCTCTAAGTATTGGTATGTGAGAATGCACATTTGCAATATTTTTATTCCATTAAAATTTTTTTTTGACCTAGCTTGCTTGTCAGTTCAGTCACCAAGCTTCATGAAGCTTTGCTAATTTTGTGAAATTTGGAATAGTGTTTTGCCACTTTAGAGATAATCCCTGAAAGCTTCCTTCTTGCATATGGCAATAAATCATTCTTTCCACTAAAAGCCTCTATGTCATTTGAAATTTATTACACAGAGCGGGTAGTGGACTTAAAAGCCATTTCACGTGTCTTATTGCTTCAATCATCTAATTTATGGGTTTCAGCTGCAATTGTAGTTGGAAAAAGTATTTTCCTTTCCCTGATCAATATAAGTCTGGTTTTGCATTCATTCCTCACTAACCTTCCGGGCCTGATTTCATCCACTGCCTCTCCTGGATTTCGTAGGTTCTACAGTCATTCTCCAGTTTCCATCATTCAAGAAAATGCAGGTAGGAAATGGAAAGAAAGTGCCAACAAGGCTGATGTAGATTGACTAAGCTTTCCCAGCTCTTAGCTGCACTTGTCAAAAGATATCTTAGTTATTATTAGTTGAGCAATCTTGCCCTAGGGAAAGGGAAACTGTCAAAAACTCCTGTGTTTAATATGTACATCTCTGGCTTCATGGAGAGAGCATGAAGGAAGCCGATTAAACACAGATGAGCTAAGCCTAAGTAACACACACTTAACACAAAGAAGGATAAGGAATTGGTACTCTTTAATGCCATGTTGGAGGTGGGATTTTTTTCCTTCACAGTGAAAAATGAATCTCTGTTCCCATGTGTCAGTCATTCTCATCACCGTGGTGAAAGATAGTATTAATGGGTTGATAAAGTGAAGAAGAATGTAGGAAAGTAATAGTCTCTCTCACCTGGGTCTCATGTGAAAAGCACACCTGTGTGGGTATAACGATTGAGCTCCTGCAGTGTCCAGGTCATAGACCCTGTCTCTGACTGCCACCAGGATGGTTGTAAAAGGCACTGCTGCGTTCTCTGATTTCAATGTAAAAAATAAGATTTGCACCCAAACACTCCTATCCTGAGTTACCATAATTACGTCTTAGCCCCATCAACCTTATGTTTCAATCCGTTCAACCTCATGGGGAAATTCAAAATTTATTCAAAGCCTATCACATGCAAGATACTAAAAGACAATTCCCTCCTATACTCTCTCCTATACAATTCTTAGTCAATGCTGGGAAGCATTTGCTGCTCTTTTAACCCTCCTGAGTGGGTCTCACGTGGGTACCCCTCCTCCTCTATTCTCCTGTGGCAAAACTCTTGGTTGTCTCCAAAACAGCTATTTCTTTATCTTTTTTCTTGATTGCTGGGAGACCTTTCTCCCACAATAGAAATACTTGCATTCTCATCTCCCTTGCCCTTATGGTATAGGTATGAGACCCAATCCTGGTAAAAGGGACTGGAGGAGATGTCTGCTAGGGGCTCCTGGGGAATATTTTACCTAATAAGACAGGCATGTGGAGGGAATCCCTCCCTTTCTCTCTGGATAGGAACATGTCAGCCTGTGACACCTGGGACTGTGTCTTGATAACACACAGAGAATGGCAGAGTGGACCAATGAGAGCCCTGGGTCCTTGGTAGTGAGCTGCCCTATTCCTGGGACATTTTGTAGATTGAAAACAATGTATTTTTACAGAGACAGTTGGAGTTTAGTAGGTTGGCCAAGTAGTCTGGAATCTCAGGCTCTAAGATGATTATACTCATTTTTAAAATATGACAGATAACATTCCTTCTTGGTGGTCCTCGTTCCCTTTGAGTTAAATCAACTCCTCAGCTTAGGCTGAGAGGTTAAGAGAAAAGCTCCATGATCCAGATGCCAATACAAGTTTGCTTGCTAAAGACAGTTGTGGAAACTAAAGATAAGATTCATACCCGGCCTGGGCCGGGCGCGGTGGCTCATGCTTGTAATCCCAGCACTTTGGGAGGCCCAGGCGGGCGGATCACGAGGTCAGGAGATCGAGACCATCCTGGCTAATGTGGTGAAACCCCATCTCTACTAAAAATACAAAAAATTAGCCGGGTGTGGTGGCAGGTGCCTGTAGTCCCAGCTACTCGGGAGGCTGAGGCAGGAGAATGGCGTGAACCCGGGAGGCGGAGCTTGCAGTGAGCCGAGATGGCACCACTGCACTCCAGCCTGGAAGACAGAGCAAGACTCTGTCTCAAAAAAAAAGATGCATACCCGGCCTGGTGGTGCACTTGTAGTCCTAGCTACTCAAAAGCCTGAAGTAAGAAGATGGTTTGAACCTGGAAGTTTGAGACCGGCCGTCTGTCTCTAAAAAGAATGAGACAATTTTCATATTCTTCAGATGTGAGAAACTTTACTTTTTATTTTTTTCTTAGGTGAATTGTCTCCCCAAATTTAAGCAATAAATGATACCACAACTATTTGATGTGTTGTGAAGCATGAACAAAGATTTTTTTTTTTAAACAAAAAGAGAAGTGAAAACAAAACTTGACATAAATAACGTATCGTAATAAAACCACAGGGCAATTTTACTTATGAATAACTGCAAACATAGGAGATAAAATGAGAAGATTGAATCCAGCAACACATTAAGGGAAAAAAAAAACCATGATGCCAGCAATTTAAAAATGGTTCAATATTAGGAAAAATCCTGAAATAATTCTCACATTTTAAACTGGAAGAAAAAAATCATATAAGCTTTCTCACTAATGAAAACCAGCAATATTTTTGATCCATTCTTTAAAAGAGCTCTTCATAAAATAGGAATAATAGGTATATCATTAACATGAGTCACATTAGATAGATGGAGATCTGATGCTATATGTGCAAAGTAAATTTACAGCCAGAAGCTGGGTGCGGTGGCTCACGCCTGTAGTCCCAGCACTTTGGGAGGCCGAGGCGGATGGATCACCAGAAGTCAGAAGTTCGAGACCAGCCTGGCCAATATGGAGAAACCCATTCTCTACTAAAAATACAAAAATTAGCCAGGCGTGGTGGCACACACCTGTAATCCCAGCTACTCGGAAGGCTGAGGCAGGAGAATCGCTTGAACCTGAGAAGTGGAGGTTGCAGTGAGCTGAGATTGTGCCATTGCACTCCAGCCTGGGCAACAAGAGCGAGACTACATCTCAATAAATAAATAAATAAATAAAAAACAAATAAATAAACAAATAAAAGAACTTTCCAGCCAGAAAACATAGCTTTGCATTTCAATCCCTCCATTTGCAGTCTGGGAGACCTTAGGTATGTCATTTTACTCTCTTGGTTTCAGTCATTTAACGTCAAAAATGAAGCTAGTAACGACTATCTTAGGAGGATTAAAACGATGCAAAATACATGTAAATGCATTTAACATATTGATTCAACCATTCATAAATGGTTGCTTTTTAATAAAATATCACCTATTCTAAAGATTTACTCACCCCAACATGGAAAAAAAAACAGGAAATATCTGAACACATACTTAGTTGAAGTCAATAAATGTTCAACATTTCCTCCAATTAATCAAGTAGCATAGATACTTTCTTCTGATGATTTTCCCAGACAAGATCTTCAGTCATAATGAGGTAAAAGCTTCAAAAGCCTTCTATGGCACATGTTGCAACAGAAGGTTGACTCTTTTTTTTTTTTTTTTGTCAGTCGTATCTATCCAAAAGAAGACACATGTTCTCACGGAATGTTCCCAACAACTGTTGGTTTAGAATCCATGACCTTCTCCAGATCACGGGGCATCATTCACCTTCCTGGAGAAGCTCATCTGTGGAGTCCTCTTCTCCACTCCTCTGTTTCTCTGGCCTCTTGCTTCTCTAATCAAGCACTCATAATTTATGGAAGGCTGAAGAAGCAGTTAACTTTTTTTTTCTTCTGTAACTCTCTTTGGAAATTGCAAATTAGTTTCCATAACATAGCTCTGCAATTTTCCTAATTCTGTGATTCTATTTATCTCAAGTGCAGCAATGAGAGGAGGGAGAAGAGGACACCAGCTCAATCCCAGCGTCCGTGTTGAGTGCGAACACCTTCACATCTTTATGAAACCCAATCATATGTTTCTGTTGCTTTATAGTTTCTATTTCATTGTGTCACATCAATGTGTATAGACACCCTGTCGCATCAGTAAGTGTAATCTTTTCTTAAAGGCGAGTAGGGTTCCAAGGAACTGGGCTTCTCTGAATCTGGAGTCTAAAATATGACATTAAAATAAATGCCTTAGATTTCTACTTTAATTCCTTCTAAATACCCCACAAATAGTCAATGGATGATTTATACTTTTTTTCTCTTTGTTCAATACATCATGCAATGAGTAGGTCTTACAAAATTGACATAGCTAATCTCTTGATATAAACTATGAAGTGTAAACTTCCCACCAACCATCACTTTGTACCAGAGTACACTTTTTTTTCTTGTTGTAAGTGCCCCTTTGTGGCATGTGAAGTTAGCTTTTTCTGTATTTAAATCAAACTTCTTACATTTCTTGCTTATAGGCACTTAAGCCATAGATGCTCTTGTATGCTAAAATTATTTAAAATTATTTCTTGCTAAAAATGTCAAGCATCCCACATCTGGGGGCTATTAGTAGAAACAAATTAGTGGTATCTAAATATATTTTTAAAATTATAAATAGTGGGAAATTTAGGAAGTGCAGAAAAAGTAGAGAGAACCAGATAACAATCATTTGTAGTTCACCATCCAGGGGTAACTACTCTTGACAACTTGTTTCATTTGCTTCCCATCTTTTTTGCAATGTACATATTTGAGATATATGAATATATTTATGCACCTATACCTGTCTATTTATAGAGAGGAAGACGGGAGGAGAGACTGTGTTGGTTTTTCTCAAACAATAAAACTTAGGTTGCTGTTTGCTTCACCTACTCACAAACAGCCTAGCTTGTTTAGTATGTCTTTATTATTTTGTTTTATTCAGTTTGCTAATATTTTATTAGGGGCACAGAAAGTCATAGGAATCTGCCCAATAATCTTCTAAATCTTCTACTGTGTTAATGGACTATTTACCTGACTCTTTTATGAAAATAGAAGTTAAAATGCTTAGAATTATATACTTTCTGCATAAAGAAGAGAAACATTCCTGATACATAAGAGCAGACAAATGTTTTACCTAATTCCTGAGCATCAAGACCTCACAAATTTAAGAGCCAGTCCTTAAAGATGATCAAGTTTAGCTTTCCCACTTTACAGATAAAATTAGTCCATGAAAAGACTATGCCTAATTCTTATGGTCTGGTGATTACTCTCTGATGATTTTTAGCTGAAATCTAAAACATTAATTACAGTAAAAGAATGGTTGTGAAGTCCTCTATTTTATGGAGTTAAGAGACATCTACAATGATGTATTAATCAAGAGGTTGATCTGATCTCCAACATACTTTCTTAAGTAACACATTTGTTTCCAATGCCAGTTACCCCTCCCTCCTCTTAGGTTGCCCAACTTCAGTTTATGGGACCACTGAATTAGGAATAGAATAGACAGGAACAGAGATATAGGAGAGAATTAGCCCTGTAGTTGCCCATCAAAGAAAGGCCAACTGGAGTGGTACAAAGGAAGAATCATTTGTCCTGCCTTTTGTCTCTTGGTAGTATGGTAGTATGTTTATACAGTACTCTATAAAGGATACCTTAAGCAGATAACAAAAAATGGAGCTATCACCATTTTGTTTGGAA
Source organism: Homo sapiens (assembly GCF_000001405.40). Taxonomy (NCBI): domain Eukaryota; kingdom Metazoa; phylum Chordata; class Mammalia; order Primates; family Hominidae; genus Homo; species Homo sapiens. The sequence continues at coordinate 19,594,818 of NC_000006.12, read as the reverse complement.
TAAAAATAAGTTTTAATTAAAAATTTCTTAAGAAAATAGCAGAATTTTGAGTGCTATAATTTTACTGGCAGTAAGATTTTGTTTTTAATATTGAAAAATATATGTATTGTCTATGAGAAGAACTGATTAGAACCTTAAATATTCCTCATATTATTACTAAAATATTTTAATATGGTGTAACTTACATCTAAGCATTCAAAATATTATCATGTTTTAAAAAGGTCGGTGCAACTCTCAACTTTCTGTAATTTATGAGCAAAACATGCAAAATAAAGAAACTTTTTGATGTTTCTTAATTTAATTCATATTGTGGAGTCTGATAGATGTTCACATGAAATTGTAGGTGGAGAAGAGACTCCAGATAGGAGTTAATCAGTCATATTCTATTCTTAATTTTTCCTGTAAAACCAAACTAACAGGGCAATAAATTATTATATAACCATTCAAGAATTTCATGAACATATGACTAAAAGAGGAATGTCCCCTCCATTCTCCTCTAATTTTTTTTCTAAAAAAATTATCTATGTTATATGATTGGTCTTATTTCCTTTTAGAATAGCTAGAATGTGTGTTAGGCTGTTTGTGAAATACACTTAAATGTTAGTCTTAATGACGATACCATTTAAAAATTTTAAATCCACTATTTGGGAATTGATTAAAATTTATATTAAGATTCTGTTCCAAATGGTATGTAGAAAAAGCTTGCTAAGTAAATAGATCTTATAAACAGGTTTTCAACTGGCATGTATTCCCCCCAATAATAGGCCACCTTCTTTCCACCAAAGCACTTTGTACCTTGACTACATGGTATTTAGGATGGCGTTTTTGTAAATATTTGTTTATTTCCTTTTCTCTTCTGCTGGACTGAGCTGCTTGAGGACCTACACAACCTCTTAGTCATCTTTTTGTTCTTATGACCTAGCGTAGTGCCTAATACAAAGCATTCAATATGCATTGATATACTTGAATTAAATGAACACTTTCAAGTACTTTGGAAATAACCATATATAGATATATAAAACACCATAATTCAGTAAGCAGACACCAACTCTCATAAGCTGGTGCTTTGATATGTTAATATAAAACAGTTCTTACCTATTCATCACAAAAGAGAGAGAATTTGGTGTCAGACTGATCAGGCATCCATGTTGGCATTTATCAGCTGTGTAACTGTGGACAAATTAGCCAACCACTATGAATCTTAGTTATCTCATATATGAAATATAATTATTAACTGTGCCCTGCAGATCTATAAGGATTAAATGAACAAATTTACATTTTGTGTAAATATAATTATTTACATGAAATATAATCATTCACCCTTTACATGTTCATTTAATATCTGCCACATTGCAAGCGCTCAGTAAATGTTAAAAGTTGGACATTCCACTTGCATCTCCAGGTTAAATCTTTAAGTCTATCCTTGTTTTATTTTTTTTTAATACATGTTTTTGGAGAAAGGTTAGTAATTAAAACATTCAAATGTCATATTAAAAATACTCTTCATATAGGCATTCTTCATTTTATATACAAGCTTTACAGACAGATATTATATATGTGTGTATATATGTTGACACACTACATACATATTTCATGTAGGACCATATTATATTTATTATTATATTTGATGTTTTCTCACACAAGACTTTACCTCCTGTAGTTTTTTTCAAAGCTGCATAACATTGCATAGACTAGATGTATAACTTTTTTAAAACCACCGCTCTTTAGTGACTATTTTGGTTATTTCTCCACTCCAAGATTATTAAAAATTCCTATATTTTCTTCTATGTTTTATATTTTGAATTTTTAAAGTACACCTATAAATCCTCAGACATTCACTTTTGTGCATGCTGAAATATCTGGCTAGTAGAAGGGCTGTGCATTATTCTATGTCACTCTTGTTCTTGTTTTATAACTAGTGTGTATGTTTAAGAAACATGGAGAGGCCCATCATCTAGCAGCCACATTGTTGTGGATTAATACCTGCTAGTTTGATTTAGGCCGTCAAAGAATTTTCGTTATTAAATGGTGAATTGCCTTTAATTAATTGAAATAAGATTGTCAGAATGATGCCATCATGAACTGTGGGACCAAATTATAACTTAGAGCAAAAAAATCTTAATAATGTAAACATTTCAACAAGAACCAAATTAAATTATTTTCCTTAGATATATTTTTTCAGCTGGGCGCAGTGGCTCATGCATGTAATCCCAGCACTTTGGAAGGCTGAGGTGGGCGGATCACCTGAGGTCGGGGATTCGAGACCAGCCTGGCCAACATGGTAAAAACTTATCTCTACTAAAAATACAAAAAATTAGCTAGGCAGGCTGGTGCATGCCTGTAATCCCAGCTACCCAGGAGGCTGAAGCAGGAGAATCACTTGAACTCAGTGGGTGGAGGTTGCAGTGAGCTGAGATCTCGCCACTGCACTCCAGCCTGGGCGACAGAGTGAAACTAGTCTTTAAAAATAATTATATATCTCTATATATCTATCTATATATATATGTTAATGTTTCTTCTATATGAATGTGTATATATATGCTCCTGATCACACAAATGAAGCAAATATTCAATTATATATTGAGTCTTCTAGAGAATTTTTTCTTTAAATACTTACTTTAGAAATTACTTCTATTTTCATACTGCAAACTCTTTGTTATCCCAGAAAATAGAGAACAATTTTATAGAGATTATTGAAAAACCACAGTTTATCAAAGAAACTCGTTTAACCAATATATTCTATAAGCATTGCTAACGAAGAGGAAAAAGGAGATTTACATTTTTTTTTCTTTCAGTGAATGTATGGTCCATAGTATAATGGACAAAATTCTATAGAAAAGTGAAAGTAAAGCTAAGTTCCCATTCAACTCTTAAACTGGATTCAACCTCTGAGTAACTTCACAGTGGCTGAACCAGAGCTTTCAACAAGGAGCTTTATATGGAAAAGGCTGGAAATTTGCTTTGAAATGTATAAAAGCAAACCTTCCACATAGAAAATTAAAGGTAAAGCAGATCTCAGACTGCCTTTCTGTGTGTGTGAGCAAAATAATACATTATTATTATTATTATTATTATTACTATTATTTTGAGACAGAGATTTGCTCTTGTTGCCTAGGCTGGAGTACAATGACGTGATCTCGGCTCACTGCAACCTCCATCTCCTGGGTTCAAGCAATTCTCCAGCCTCAGTCTCCCGAGTAGCTGGGATTATAGGAGCCCACCACCACTCCCGGCTAATTTTTTTGTATTTTAGCTGATCTTGAACTACTGACCTCAGGTGATCTGCCCACCTTGGCCTCCCAATGTGCTGGGATTACAGGCATGAGCCACCGCACCCGGCCAATGATACATTATTTTTCTAGGGACAGAGTGCACTAGGAACTTACACAATGGATAGGCAACATTCTAAGAATGAGAAATTGTATTTCATAAATCTCTCTAGAGACTACTGCAGAATCATGTGCCCTGAAACAGTCTTTTCATATGTCTTCTGTTTTTTAAGAAAACATATTTCTGGACTCCTGCAAAAAGAGGTGACATTTTACGTTCTCCATAAAAGATTCTCTTGGAAAGTTATTTTATAGTTTGTCTCTTAGACCCATTCCAAAGAGTGTTTTTTTTTTTGCTTCAGTCAGGACTCATATCTCTTATAAAAGATGGAGAGAAGGTGGACTGGGTTATTCAGGGTTTAGGGAATGAGTAAGAGAGTAATTTAAAGTTTTTCTTTTTATCACCAGAGTTCTCTCTCTATCCCTCTAAAGTACCAGAGCCCAAACTGAAGAATGATTTTTCCATTAGAGGATATGAAATATATCAGTGCCTGCCTCCACACTGTCTTACTTCTGCATGTGCTTCTAACTACTCCGTGTATACATATTAGTTGCCAGCTATATTAGTTTCTAGCTCATACTTGCAGTGATAGAAAATGCCTGGCAAGCGTGACATCAACTCTTGACCTGCAAGTCATCATTAATATATCAAACCACTTTTTCTCTCTGAGCTCAAGAGCGTGAATCAAGCAGCTATTACAAATCAATAAGCACTGTCATAGTAGATAAAATCTGATCGTCCGAGCCCTTGATTTCAATCAGCCACCATTCTTCTGTCAGGGAACAAAAGGCTAAAAATTTTAATGCAAGAGGGACTTCTGAATCTAGAGGAAAACCTCAGGAGTGATCTTTCTGTCAACTAAAACTTTCTAAGCATCAGTTCCCTTAGGTAACAATAAGTGTTGGTGTATATCTTCTCACACCTCCTTTGCAGCCTACAATTGTACTTAAAGGCTAAGACATTAGGCCAAGAAAATATTATCCTTTGTGGGTAAGGATAATTATAAGTGACAACCGTAAATGTGCTGTTCAGTAGAACTTTCTGTGATGAAGATAATAATCTCTGCAGTCCATCATAGCAGCTGCTAGCTATTGAGCACTTGAAATGTGATTACCGCAAAGGCAAATGAGGAAATGCATTTTTAACTTTATTTAATTTTAAAGAATTTAAATTTAAATAGCCATGTATCATTACAGATTGAGTATCCCTTATCCAAAATGCTTGAGACTAGAAGTATTTCCAGTTTCAACTTTTTTCAAATTTTGGAATATTTATACTGAGATACACTGGGGTTGAGACCCAAGTTGAAACACAAAATTCATTTATGTTTCATATACACCTTATACATGTAAGCTGAAGGCAACTTTATATAATATTTTAAATAATTTTGTGCGTGAAACCAAGTTTGTGTACATGAGGTCAGGTGTGTAATTTCCCACTGAGATTGTGATGTCAGTGCTCAAAAGGTTTTGAATTTTGGAGCATTTCAGAGTTTGGATTGTCACATTAAGAATGTTCAACTTGTGGTAGCTGAAATATTGGACAGGGAAAGTCTATAAAACACCTCCATAGAAAGAATCTATTTTATAGTATGATCGAGAGTTAGTGTTCTAACTGAACTATGTGTTTCCGTCTCTGGTAGAAGCTTATTTAAAATGTGTGCTATGAAAGAAATAAATATAAAACTTCTAATGTGGAATGCTTTAGAAGTGTGTGGAAATGCTGGAGGATGTAATTTTTAAAAAAATTATGAAATATAGAAACATGGACGGGCCCATAATAAATTCCTCATGTGAACTTATTCATAAAATAGAGACATGATATTTGTTGTAGATATTCTAGTCATTATAAATGTATATGCAAGAATCTTTTTATAAGCTGTGAGATCCTACTTTTTAAGTGGAAACTCTATCTTTTGCAGTTTTCTTCTTACATCATCTGGCACACAGTAAATATTAAAAAATTTTTGTTTTGTAAAAGAATGAACAGAGCAGCAAACCACCATGGCACGTGTATACCTATGTAACAAACCTGCACGTTCTGCAAATGTACCTCAGAACTTAAGGTATAATAAAAAAAATTCAATTACATGTAAAAAGAAAAAAGAATGAACAGAGTTTGTCAAGTTCTAGTACCCATATGAAGCATCTCTCACCTCTGCTGAGAACAGTGATAAACAGAAAAGGAAAGAAGAGTTCTTTAACAAGTCATCACTTTCTTGCTGTAAAATTGCTCTGGGGTAATCAACACAGAGAAAGAAACACAAAAGAAATTATAACACACAGCATTTCTTAGCACCCTTTTTCCCAAAAGTCATATCAAATTGTAACCACTTAGTTGGTACTTGGTTGTTAGGCTATTTCTGTCCTGTATGTGTGAGTACAGAAATTCCAAGTGACTCTACTTCTTAACTTAAAATGAACTAAGTGTGTGTTGCCTTCACATTGGGTACTTAGTTAGTCTTCAACAGGTGTTGCTGAAAAAAAAGTTAATGCCAGATGATTAAACAGAAAATATTTCTTGTGATTGTACATCAGGAAGGATGTCTCTTGCAGTTAATTTTCTTGAGAGGTTATATATTAGTCTAGACATCCTGTGTTCTGGACCTATAATGACAGTCTTGGAATGCTTAAGTACTGATGCAGAAATCCTTTTTTTTCTACCTTAATTAACAGTAGCAAAATTATGAAAAATTCTCAGAGTAGGATTTTCTCATAAATCCCCAGCTCTCTATCAATGGAGACTGTCAAGACTTATAAGTCAATTTAGAAGGACTGACTCCTGTTCTTGATCATAGAGTAACATGTGGATCTTTGGCATTCTCTTAACAGGCCACCTTTTGTCTATATCATCCTTTTTCTTTTCTTTCTTTTTATTTTTTAGAGCCAAAGTCTCACTATGTTACCCAGGCTGGACTTGAACTCCTGGGATCAAGGGATCCTTCTACCTTAGCCTCCTGAGTAGCTGGGACTATGGGCATGAGCCACTGTGCTTGGCTTATAGTATCCTTGTATCCTGACCTTAAACTCCAGGACAAGACCCTTCCCATCTAGCTGAAAAATATTCCTGGTTGGTTTCCATGTGATGTCACCAGCACATGTGATATAGAAATCTATAACAATATATTATATTTTAAAAAGTCATATTTATGGCAAATAGTTCATGTTGACAATAAATAAATAGCTAATGCTAAGTAGCTAAATAGCTTATGATAGCTAAATAGCATGTGAATAGCTTGTGATAGGAAGTTTCTCGATCCTCCAAATCTTTCACCTTGTATCAGATGCAAACCAATATGAAATGTCACATGGTAAAATATGTGCCTTTTTATCAACTTGTAGCTGTGTGTCAGAAAGATCTCATACCATCAAAACTTTCCAAGGAAGTTACATAATAAAATTGGGCATTAATAATGACAGATGGCTGAGAACCTGAGTATTTTAAATTGCTTTCTCTGATTGGTAAAGGTATCACAGATAACAAAGAAGGTTTCAGCACTGTGTTGTGGTGGTATAATTTAGGGGTCAGACTCACACTGGGACAGAAGTCTTAAAACGGGCTCATGGTCAGTTCAAATTAAATATCATGAATCCTAACATACTCATGAAACTTCTTGTATCCAGTTTCTACAGCAGGGATTCCTCAATTTTTGTTTGTCTCTATGTTTTAGATGACACTGTAAGTGGTTGGTGTCCCAATGCCATCTGGCACATAATAGCAAACACAGATCCACTACCATATGGTGAAATGCCAGTAGAACGAAGCAGTGGTTTCATTTCATCATAATGTGCTAACACATGGGAGTAAAGATGAGGCTAACATGATGGAAAATGTCTTCGTGTTGGTGAGTTCAGTATTGGAAAATGCCTACTCCAAATCATGGGGATAGCCTTGGGAACACTTGAAGGCTTTCTTTGGTGTGTGTAGAGTAAGGTCATCTTGGCTTTATATTTGCTATTTTGGTTGGTGGTTGTAGTAGGTTTCTATTGTTGCAATACAAATGACCACAAATTTAGCGGCTTAGAACAGCACCTGTTGTTTCTGTTGGTAAGAAGTCTGGATGCAGTGTGGCTCAGCTGGTTTCTCTGCTAAGGGTTGCACCAGAGTAAAATCAAGATAGCAGAGCTGCATTATGTTCTGGAGGCACTGGGGAAGGATCCACACTCAAGTTCATTCAGGTGGTTGGCAGAATTTGGGTCCTTGTTGTTGTGAGATCCTGGCCCCTGTTTCCTTGCTGTCTGTAGTCCAGGGGCAGCCCTCAGCTCCCAGAGATCTCCCTGCTGCCCTTGCATGTTGTCCCCTATATCTCAGAATCAGCAATGGTTGTGGTGTCAAATCCTGCTCACACTTGGTGTCTCTGACCTTCCTTTCTGTTGCATCTCTGTCTCTAGCCAGGGCAAGCTGTCTTTTAAAAGCTCATGTGATTAGATTGGGCCAACCCAGGCAATTCAGGACAATCTCCCTATTTTAAGATTCTTAACCTCAATTATACCTGCCAAGGCCCTTTTCTGTGTAGGGTAACATATCAACAGGTTCCAGGATTAGGGCTGAACATCTTTGGAGGGGGTGGGCATTATTTTGCCTACCACAGTGACAATCAGGATTAATAGTTTCTTATTCACTATATATTATTATTAATAGCTTTTATTGACTGTATGTTATTATTATTAACTGTACTTTAAGAGAGTTTTAGTTCCTTCTATATCTCTCTTGCTTTCTCTCTCTTTTTCTCTCTCTCTCTCTCATTCTCTCTTTCACTTAGATACCTGGAATACTGAAAGAAGAACTTTCCTTTTACTTCCTATAGGATTTTCCCCCTGTATTTTCTAATCAAGTACAACTTGGACATTTATTATTATATCTGGAAACTTGAAAAGCATGGTCTCTATGAAGTGAGCATTCCAAGGCAAAGGAAACTATAAATTTAATGTAATTAAGAATGCCACTGGACGATTCCTCAGGGATCTAGAACTAGAAATACCATTTGACCCAGCCATCGCATTACTGGGTATATACCCAAAGGACTATAAATCATGCTGCTATAAAGACACATGCACACGTATGTTTATTGCGGCACTATTCACAATAGCAAAGACTTGGAACCAACCCAAATGTCCAACAATGATAGACTGGATTAAGAAAATCTGGCACATATACACCATGGAATACTATGCAGCCATAAAAAATGATGAGTTCGTGTCCTTTGTAGGGACATGGATGAAATTGGAAATCATCATTCTCAGTAAACTATCGCAAGAACAAAAAACCAAACACCGCATAATCTCACTCATAGGTGGGAATTGAACAATGAGATCACATGGACACAGGAAGGGGAACATCACACTCTGGGGACTGTTGTGGGGTGGGAGGAGGGGGGAGGGATAGCATTGGGAGATATACCTAATGGTAGATGACAAGTTAGTGGGTGCAGCACACCAGCATGGCACATGTATACATATGTAACTAACCTGCACAATGTGCACATGTACCCTAAAACTTAAAGTATAATAATAAAAGAAAAAAAAATTAAAAAAAAAAAAAGAATGCCACTGGATGTGAAGGTGATGCCTTTATTATATCAATTGTTATAGTATTTAATTTTTTAAAAAACAGAACAAATTTAGTAAAGGTTTTCATATTTGTAAAAATAACCAGATGCTAACTGCCTGTAGGCACAGGTTATGAGAGCTGCTTAAATTCCTTTTCGTAGTTCATGTTAGTGTCAACAAAGTCTTAACTTAAAAATTAGCACAGTGCACTTTGGGAGGCCGAGGCAGGTGGATCATGAGGTCAAGAGATCGAGACCATCCTGGCCAACACGGTAAAACCCTATCTCTACTAAAAATACAAAAATTAGCTGGGCGTGGTGGCGTGCGCCTGTAGTCCCAGCTACTCGGGAGGCTGAGACAGGAGAATCGCTTGAACCCAGGAGGCGGAGGTTGCAGTGAGCTGAGATCATGGCACTGCACTCCAGCCTGGGCCACAAAAGCAATACTCTGTCCCCCCCACCCCACCCACTCAAAAACAGAAATTAGCACAGTAAGAAGTGTAAGTAGATAAACCCTGGTTTTATATGATACCAGTAACATTGGAACAGTAGAACACTGGCATTTTTTTTTTTTTAATTCATTCTGTGTGAATTAGTCTATTCAGGCTTTCTACTGCTCCTTGGCCATTTATATTTCTCTGGAAAATTGTCTGTTTCATGGAGGTTTTCGAGTTTATTGGTATTTGAAAAATATAATGGATAGTATAAATCCATTATATAAATGGATTTTATACAATTATAAAAAATATAGTTAAAATATTTTCACTTGTAGCTACATTTATTACTTGTGTTTTCTTTGTTTTTAACTTACTATTACTATTCTTTTGTGTTTTTCCTTTTTCTTTTCTTTTTTTCTTTTTTTGAGACAGAGTCTCACTCTGTTGCCTATGCTGGAGTGCAGTGTTGGGATCCCGGCTCACTACAACCTCCGCCTCCCTAGTTCAAGCAATTCTTGTGCTTCAGCCTCCTAAGTAGCTGGGACTACAGGTGCCTGCTACTATGCCCAGCTAATTTTTGTATATTCCATAGAGACCGGGTTTCACCAAGTTGGCCAGGCTGGTCTTGAACTCCTGACCTCAAGTGATTCACCAACCTCAGCCTCCCAAAGTGCTGGGGTGTTTTTTTTTCTTGAACATACAGAAGCACTTTATTCCTGTTTGTTTAATCAACTGTTTGTTTAATCAATTCTGATTTTTTTGTATGCTTATGATTTTGAGGTTTCTTTATTTTATTTTTTTATTATATTTTAAGTTCTGGGGTACATGTGCAGAACGTGCAGTTTTGTTACATAGGTATACACGTGCCATGGTGGTTTGCTGCACCCAGCAACCTGTCACCTACATTCGATATTTCTCCTAATGCTATCCCTCCCCTACTCCCCATCCCCGGACAGGCCCTGGTGTATGATACTCCTCTCCCTGTGTCCATGTGTTCTCATTGTTCAACTCCCACTTATGACTGAGAACGTGCGTGTTTGGTTTTCTGTTCTTTTGTTAGTCTGCTGAGAATGATGGTTTCCACCTTCATCCATGTCCCTGCAAAGGATATGAACTCATCCTTTTTTACAGCTGCATAGTATTCCATGGTGTATATGTGCCACATTTTCTTTATCCTGTCTATCACTGATGGACATTTGGGTTGATTCCAAGTCTTTGCTATTGTGAATAGTGCTGCAATGAACATATGTGTGGATGTGTCTTTATAGTAGGATGAGTTATAATCCTTTGATTATATACCCAGTAATGGGATTGCTGGGTCAAATGGTATTTCTAGTTCTAGATCCTTGATGAATCGCCACACTGTCTTCCACAATGATTGAAGAGGTTTCTTTATTTTTTCCCTTTGCTTTATTTGGGTTTATTTTGTTATTCTTTTTCTAGCACATTCTGTAGAAAAAATAATTTATTTAATTCCACTTGTTTTTAATAAATAATTGTATTTACTTTAATAAATAATTTAAAATTTATAAATGCTCCTCTGAGAACCACATTACCTTCATCTCTTTGAAATACAGTATTTTTATTTTCCTCCATTTTTTCCTCCTCTGGTTTAAAAGCTATACATTCAATTTCTATCCTTCTATGATTACCTATACATTTTGAACACTTTATTAAACTTAGAATTTTCTAAAAAGTCTTGTGTTATTCAGTTACCTTCTTATTCCACTGGAGAAGATAAGATAAGAATGTTAGAATATTTTTTCTTCTAGGGTTCCACTCACAAGCTGCTCCTCCCCTATCCCCCAAAATCCCAAGTAACCCAATATTATCATCTGGAATTTTAATTTGAACTAATTGTTCATATATTTTTATTTATTTAGATATCACTGATAGGTTTTTACTACTTATGTTTAACTTTCCATTGAATTATTTATCAAAATTCTTCCTTTTGGATTTGTTTTTCTTCTTGTTAAAACATTGCCTTTTGAAGTTGACTTCTGGGAGAATCTATAGGTAGTATAATATGCTAACATGTTAACATACCCATATTTTACTTTTACTTTTGAAGAGTTTATTTTTATTCATGAAGTTTTATTATGCATTGAATTCAAGGATCAAATTATTTTCTCTCAGGATTTAGAAATATTTTTCCATTGCTTTCTTGCATTCTGTGGTACTGATAAAAGTTCTGATGTCATTCTGATTCTTATTTTTGAAGATGAAACTTTCTTGTTTCTCTGGTAGATTTTATAATTTTCTCTGTTGTTATGTTTGTGTTCATGGTGTTTTGAGTAAAGTTATGTTTTTTTCCTTCTTGGACTTAGTGAGCACTGTCATTCTAAAGACTCATTTTTTTTTTCTCCCAGTTCTAGAAAATTCTCAGCCATTATTTGTTCTAGTATTGCTTCTCTTTCATTTCTTCTATTATTTGCTTCTAGAAATATCTTCAGGGGAGTATCACAGTTTTGGGTGTCTATTCCAAATGTTTCAATTTTTATCTTAGCTTTTCATCTTTTTATGCTACATTTAAAATAATTATTTTGTCCAATCTTCCAAGTGGCTGATTCACTCTTCAGGTATTAAGACCATTTACTGAGATTTTCTATCCTTTCTGCCAGTGATGTGAGATGGCACCTTGGTCATATACTAAATTTTCATAGATATTTGTGTTTATTTCTGCACTTTTATTCAATTCTACTGATTTATTTGCTTATTTATGCGCCACTGTTATAATATTTTAATTATAGAGTCTTTATAATATGTTTTAATGTTTGGTAGGGCTAGTTCTTTCTTGCAGTTCTTTCTTTTGTATTATTGTCTTGAACATTTGTGCATGTTTGCCTTTTTTCATACAAACTTTAGTATGAACTTCCCTATCTCCTTAAAATTGCTTTTTGGTATTTTTATTGCGATTGCATTTAATTTACAAATTTATTTAGGAAAAACTGACATCTTTATAATGTTGAATCATCATATCCAAGAGCAGGGGCTATTTTTTCAAACTTTTGTGTCTTTTAGGGATGATTTAAAATTGTCATCATGTAGGTTTTGCACATTTCTTGTTAAATGTCATACTAAGTCTTTTATCTCTTTTGTTGCAAGGGTGAAAGAGCTTCTCTCTACCATGTATATGTCTCCTAACTGTTTATTGTTTGTGTATATAAAGGCTACTGATTTTATATTTTGATAGGTTCCTGAATTCTTTTACAATTTAAGTTAGTTTTATCATTGATTCTTTGAGGGTTTCTAGGTATAATATCTTACCATCTGCAAATAGAGATAATTCTATTTCTTCTTTGCCCATTCTTATGTCACAAATGACTTTCTCTTGTTTAATCATATTGGTTTATAGTCTAGTACAATGTTGAATAATAGAGATAGTAAAAATCTTTGCCTTGTTCCTCAGCTAATGTTTTTCCATTAAATAAGATTCTGGCTTTAGCATTTACATGTCTTTACCTATCTCCATCTCCATCACTATCTCTAAATTTCTATTTCTATCTCTGTCTCTAGATAGAGATTATTATGTTATGAAAGTACCTCTTCATTCCTATTTCTTGAGTGTTTTCTATTAATGAATGAGTGTTAAGTTTGGTCAAAGGTTTTTGTCAGCATTTATGAAGATAATCATGTATTCCCCTTTATATTTATTACTATGGTGAAATATATTAACGTTGTTTCTAATATTGAGCCAATTTATATTCTGGCAATAAAACCCAGTTGGTCATCCCATATTACTTTCTTAAAGTGGTATTGGATTCTGTTTACTAATATTTTGTGTGGGTATATTTGCATTGATATTTATTAGTGGGATTAGTCTCTGGTTTTCTTCCCTTTATCTGCTGTATCAGTTGATAACATATTTACTTCAAAAAAGGAATTTGAGAGTTTTCTTTCTTTTTCAATACTCTTGAATAATTCATGCAGCATTGGGATTATTTGATGTTTGAAGGTGTCATAGCGTACCACAGTGAAATCACTTGGGTCTGGTGTCTTTTGGTATAGTTTTAATCAATTCTTCCATGAACATAATCTGTTTAAGTCTTTTAGTATGCTTTGTTTTCTTTCTTGCTTTGCATTTGTTCACTGTAAAGACTTGCAGCTAGCTGGGGGCAGTAGAGGCAAGTATGAGAGGCTGCAGATTGGAATTTGGTGATTTTGGCAATTTTGGCATTCTCAGCCTTTAAGTAATGATGTAATGGCTGATTTTATGTGTCCACTTGACTGAGCCACAGAATGCCCGGATATTTGGTAAACATTATTGTGGGTATTTATGTGAGGTGTATTATGTATTTTGTGATGAATTTAACATTTATATTAATAGACTGAGTAAAGCATAGTGCCTCTCCTAATCAGAGTGGGCCTGATCCAATCAGTTGAAGATCTGAATAGAAAAAAATCAATCCCTCTCACAAAGAAGAGGGAATTTTTCCTTGCTTGACTGTCTTAAGCTGGGGCATCCATTTTTCCTGACTTTGAACTAGAATTGAAACATCAGTTCTTCCTAGGTCCTGGACTAGAATTATACCCTTGGTTCTCCTAGGCCTCCAGCTTCTCAACTGCAGATCTGGGGACTTGTCACCCTCCATAATCACGTGAGATAATTTCTTATATATAGTTGATCCTTCACAATGTGGGGGTTGGGTGTCAACTCTCCTGTACAGCCAAAAATCCATGTATAACTTTTGATTTCCCAACAACTTGACTGCTAATGGCCTACTATCAACTGGAAGCCTTACTGTTAACTTATACAGTTGATTAACAATATTTTCTATGTTTTTTATATTGTATATTTTATAGTTACAATAAAGTAAACCAAAGGAAAAAAAGTGTTGCTAAGAAAACATAAAGAAGAGAAAATATATTTACCATTCACTAAGTGTAAGTGGATTATTATAAAGGTCTTAATCCTCATCATCTTCACACTGAGTAGGCTGAGGGGGAGAAGGAGGACAGTGGGTTAATCTTGCTGTCCCAGGAGTGGCAGAGGTGGAGGAGTTGGAAGGAGAAGCAGGAGAGTCAGACATACTTAGTGTAACTTTACAGGAATGTGTCATAATTCCCCTCTAACGTTTTGCTTTTTCATTTCCCTAAAAATGTTTCTACATCATAGATGGGTCCAAGTTGTAAAAGAAATAAAAAACAGTGTTGAATAATCAGAATCCTTCTGCCGGATTGTCTAATGTAAATGTGTTTTCTGGCACTGCTTCTTCTACATTTTCTTCATCATCTAGCACAGATTTGGAAGCACTCATCTGCATCAAGTCATCTTCTATTAATTCCTCTGGTGTGGCATGTATTAGCTTCTGAATTCTCCAAGATCCATATCTTGAAACCCTTCACATTCCACTTTTTTTTTTTTTTTTTTTTTTTGCTGTCACAATCTCTCATGATTTCCTTGATTGGCTCTTTGTAAGTCCTAAGAAGTCATGTACAATATCTGGATACAGTTTTCTCAAGCAGCAATTCATTGTTTCAGGTTTGATGGCTTTTGTGGCTTTTTCTATAATGACTGTGGCATCTTCAGTGGTGTAATCCTTCCAGACTTTCATAATGTTCTCTCTACAGGGGTTCTCTTCCATAGTGTTGGCAATCCTTTCCATAAAGTACCATGTGTAATGGGCCCTACAGGTCCTGTGACTCCCTGATTTGGAGGCTGAGTTAAACACATTGTGACTGGGAGCAAGTGGACCACTTTGCTTGTTGAACTCATAAAGTTCTGAGTGGCCAGGGGCATTGTCCAATATCAAAAGAACTTTAAAAGGCAGTCTTTTACTGGCAAGGTATTTCCTGACTTCAAGGACAAAGCATGGGTGGAACCAATCCAGAAAAATGATTTTTGTTGTCCAGTCCTTCTTGTGCAATCAGAAGACTGGAAGTAGGTATGTATCTTTTCCCTTCAAGGCTTGGGGGTTAGCAGCTTTATAGATGGGGGCATTCCTAATAATAAATTTGACTGCATTTGCACAAAAAGGTAGAGTTAGCCTATCTCTTTCTACCTTAAATCCTGGTGCTCTTTTCTCGTCCCTACTAATAAATGTCCTTTGTGGATTTTTTTTTTCCAGAATAGAGCACTTTTGTGTGTATTAAAACCTGTTCAGGCAGATACCCTTTCTCCTCAATGATTTTCTTAATGGCATCTGGGAATTTGTCTGCTGCCTCTGGGCCAGCAGAAGGTGTTTTTCTTGTTATCTTGCGTTTTTTAAAGCCAAACCTCTTTGTAAAATTATCAAACCATCCTTTGCTGACATTAAATTCTCCAGCTTTAGATCCTTTGCCTTCCTTTTACTTTGATTTGTCATATAATGACTTTGCCTGTTTTCAAATCATTTTAGAGTCTATAGGTGTGCCTTTCTTATAGCAATTCTGCACTCAAATAAAAGCTGCATTTTCAATATGAGATAAAAAGCTATTTTCCAAAAGAAATGCAAGGTTTTCCCACCTGCTGTGGTAGCTGCAGTGATGGCTTTAAGAATTTCCTTTTCTTTTTTTATAACACTCCTTATGCTGGATTAATTTATCTGTGAAATGGTGGGCAACCACAGCTGCACACCTCAATCAAGCAAAGCTGCACACATATCAAGCAATTCAACTTTTTCTTGTAATGTCATGGCTTTGCTTCCTGGGAGCCCTTCCAGCATCACTCATGGCACTTTGTATGGGTCCCATGGTGCTATTCGAGGCTTATGGCATTGCACTAAACATGATGAAAAATGCTTGAGAACTGCAAGAGAACACTTTTTACTGTAATATGCAATTTTCTGAAGAGACAGACTGCTCATATGGAGATGATTAGTGATTAGTGTCACGTGGCGTTTTAAGAGGATACTCCCAACACTTGAGTTCACCACAATAGCAACAGGAAATGGCTACAAAATTATTGTAGTACTACAGTGAGTATTATAGTCAATTCTATGCAGTTATGATTTAATACTGCATCTTTCCATTTGTTTACATTCCTCTTGACTGAAAATAGTGCCATGTGTGGTCTGTGTGTGCATGTTTGACCGAGTATAACTTTTTGTAACAGATTTATGTATATTTTATTGTAGTAAATGATCAAATAGACTAGTATCTACATATATTTTATGCAATCGTGACATCTAAAGTTTCCTCAATTTTCTCAACATTTCTGGGCTACACAGTTCATCTGAGTTTTTCAAATTATTGCACATGTTCAAAAGTTTTTCCAGTGTATTTATTGAAAAAAATCTGCATATAAGTGAACACACATAGTTCAAATACTGTTCGAGTCAACAGTATGTATGTATATACTATTGTTTCTGTATATATGTATATATATGTGTGTGTGTGTGTATATATATATGTGTGTGTATATATATATATATATATATATGTATATATGCTTCTGTTTCTCTGAAGAATCCTGACTAATAGAGATTTTGGTACCAATAAGTGGGATGTTGCTGTAACAATGTGGAAGCAGCTTTAGAGCTGGGTAATGGGCAGAGGCTGGAGGAATTTGAGATATATGCTAAACCAAGCCTAAATTGCTCTAAAAGACTGTTAGAAGAAAGATGAATGTTAAAGGTGATTCTGATGAGGACTCAAAAAGAGCCTCCATCTTCTTAGAGAATACATAAATAATTATGAATGGAATGTTGTTATAACTATGGTGTTATAACTATGGGCATTAAAGGTCATTCTGTTGAGGTCAAAGGTTGGGGCCTTTTTGTTTTTTTGGGTCAAGGATGCCATGGCCTAATGTCTCAGTGGTGGGGCTACCCTCACAGAGCTGTTGGGGTGATGCTACTGAGGCAGGAGGTGAGACTTGACTCCAGAGGTGGGACTCAATCCAAGAGTCGGGGCTCAGGCATTGGACCAAATTGACTCCCTCAAACAGGCATGGGGCAGAAGCAGCTTTCCATAAGAGACATCCACCAGAGTGCCATGTCAGTTTGCCATTACCATGGCAACATCTGGGAGTTACCACCCCTTTTCATGGCAATGACCCCACCTCCTAGAAGTTACTACCCTTTCCCTAGAAATTTCTGCATAAACTGCTCTTTAATTTGCATGTAATTAAAAGTAGGTATAAAGATGACTGCGGAATAGCCCTGAGCTACTGCTCTTCACTGCCTATGGGGTAGCCCTGCTCTGCAGGAGCTGTTCCGGAGCTGTAACACTGCCTGAGTTGCAACAATGCTGCAGCTGCAACACTGCCGCTTCAGTAAAGCTGTTTTCTTCTACCACTGGCTTGCCCTTGAATTCCGTCCTGGGCAAAGCAAATAACCCTCCTGGGCTAAGCCTCAATTTGGGGCTTAACTGCCCTGCATCACTACCACCCCTGTAAGCCTGGAGGAGAGAGCATTGAACTCAAGAGCATTATTCTGGATACTTCAGATTTCACAGAATTTGTCTTGCTAGGTTTTAGAATTGTTTAGGACTCATCAGTGTCATTTTTTTTTCTCATTTCTTCTTTTTTGAATGAGAATATCCATCCTATGCATGTCACACCACTGTATTTTGAAAACACATAACTTGTACTTTGTTTTACTGGTTCATAGCCGGAAGTGAATTTTGCCTCAGGATAAATCTTTTTTAAAAAATTTTTTATTTTTATTTTTCATTTTTATTATTATACTTTAAGTTCTAGGGTACATGTGCACAATGTGCAGGTTTGTTACATATGTATACATGTGCCATGTTGGTGTGCTGCACCCATTAACTCGTCATTTACATTAGGTATTTCTCCTAATGCTATCCCTCCCCCCTCCCCCCACTGCACAACAGGCCCCAGTGTGTGGTGTTCCCCTTCCTATGTCCATGTGTTCTCATTGTTCAATTCCCACCTATGAGTGAGAACATGTGGTGTTTGGTTTTCTGTCCTTGTGATAGTTTGCTGAGAATGATGGTTTCCAGCTTCATCCATGTCCCTACAACGGACATGAACTCATCCTTTTTTATGACTGCATAGTATTCCATGGTGTATATGTGCCACATTTTCTTAATCCAGTCTATCATTGATGGACATTTGGGTTGGTTCCAAGTCTTTGCTATTGTGAATAGTGCCGCAATAAGCATATGTGTGCATGTGTCTTTGTAACAGCATGATTTATAATGCTTTGGGTATATACCCAGTAATGGAATGGCTGGGTCAAATGGTATTTCTAGTTCTAGATCCTCGAGGAATTGCCACACTGTCTTCCACAGTGGTTGAACTAGTTTACAGTCCCACCAACAGTGTAAAAGTGTTCCTGTTTCTCCACATCCTCTCCAGCACCTATTGTTTCCTGACTTTTTAATGATTGCCATTCTAACTGGTGTGAGATGGTATCTCACTGTGGTTTTGATTTGCATTTCTCTGATGGCCAGTGATGGTGAGCATTTTTTCATGTGTCTGTTGGCTGCATAAATGTCTTCTTTTGAGAAGTGTCTGTTCATATCCTTCGCCCACTTTTTGATGGGGTTGTTTGATTTTTTCTTGTAAATTTGTTTAAGTTCTTTGTGGATTCTAGATATTAGCCCTTTGTCAGATGGGTAGATTGCAAAAATTTTCTCCCATTCTGTGGGTTGCCTGTTCACTCTGATGGTAGTTTCTTTTGCTGTGCAGAAGCTCTTTAGTTTAATTAGATCCCATTTGTCAATTTGGCTTTTGTTGCCATTGCTTTTGGTGTTTTAGTCATGAAGTCTTTGCCCATGCCTATGTCCTGAATGGTATTGCCTAGGTTTTCTTCTAGGGTTTTTATGGTTTTAGGTCTAACATTTAAGTCCTTAATCCATCTTGAATTAATTTTTGTATAAGGTGTAAGGAAGGGATCCAGTTTCAGCTTTCTACATATGGCTAGCCAGTTTTCCCAGCACCATTTACTAAATAGGGAATCCTTTCCTCATTTGTTGTTTTTGTCAGGTTTGTCAAAGATCAGATGGTTGAAGATGTGTGGTATTATTTCACCTCAGGATAAATCTTACCTGCAGACTCATTCATCTGATTTGAGATCATATTTAGATATGATCTCAGAGTTGATGCTGAAATGAGTTAAGACTTTGGGGGGTGCTAGGATGTGATGAGCATATTTTGTATGTGAGAAAGAATGAATTTTGGGCAACCAGGGGCAAAATGTTACGGACTAAATGTACATGTTTCCCCCATCACAACCCCATAATTCATATGTTGAAGCTCTAGCACCCAGTGTGGCTATATTTGGAGTAAGGAAGTAAGGTTAAAAGAGATTATAGGGATGGGGCCTAGATCCAATAGGCTTAGTGTCCGTCTAAGAAAAGACGCCAGAGAGCCCACTTTCTCCCTCTCCCTCTACGTGTACTCAGAGTAAAGAGATGTAGGACATAGTAGCTATCTACAAATGGGGAAGAGAGCCTTCACCAGAAATGGAACCCCGCCGGACCTTGATTTGGGACTTCCAGGCTCCAAGGAGAAATAACTTTATTTTGTTTAAGCCACCCAGCCTGTGGTATGTTGTTATGTCAGCCTGAGCAAACTGATATAAATGGTGAGGCCATGTTTTTTGTGTAGGATTTTCCTGGTTATGTAGTTGTTTCATTATATTTGTGAAGGAAATTTGTGAGAGATTATTACATAACTGCCATTGTCTTTAACCATGAGAAAACTAAATCACATTTACTAAATTCAATGTGATTCACTTTTTAGAAAACAATTTCTGAGTGCAATCCATTTGGTTAACCTGATTCTTGAAATATTTTGCACTTTTTCACTTAATTTCTACTTCTGCCATATTTCTTTCTTACCATTTTTGGACTGAATAATTTGATTTTTTTGTTATTCAATCTTTTCTCCCACTCAAATGTTCACACTCTATTTTTAATTTCTTTTTGATTACCATTGAACTTTTACTTTGTTATATGTTTTAATATAACAAAATCTAAAGTTAAACAATATCTTTGCTTTCATCCTAAACAAGACATGATCTTATCCTGCCTCTCTAAATGCATGATATTTTTTGTCCTTGGTATCTTCTAGTTTCACTAAGACACATCTTAGGGGATTTATTTTGATTCATCCTGTTTAGAACAAGTTGTACTTATTAGATCTGCAGATTCATATTTTTTATCCTTTCTGAAAGATTTAAGTATTGCCTTTCCCCCATCCCCCCATGCTCCCTACATGAGTCTGCAAGTAGACTTATGTTGGTCCTTATCACGCTATCCTCCAAGATCTCTTAAAATCTTTTTCCTATTTTCTCATTTCCTTATTCCTTCTTTTCCTGTATTGTGGATAGCTTTTGGATATATCTTCCAGTTTACCATTTCTCTCTTTCTTGCATCAAGCTGATGTTTAACCCATCCACAGCATTTCTGATTTCTACAAATATGTTTTTCATTCCTAAAAGCCCTTTTTCCCTAAAATTTTATTTTTATTCCCAATAACTTCTTGCCGAGTGCTTTACATTGAATATTTTACTTTTTAAAACATTTCATATAGCTATGACATATATCCAACAAGTTAAACATCTGCAGTTTTTGTGAGTCTAAATCTGTTATTTCTTATTTATGCATACTGATGCTAATAGCAGTAATTTTGCTAATTTTGTTTGTGAGTTGATTACTTGTTCTTAATCATGGTAAGTCCTTCAGGACTAACATATTTATTAAATCCAATGTGACTCTCTTTTTTCTCAAACCTATGAGTTTAGTCCATTTGGTTATCCTGATTATTGCTTTAGGAGTCTTTTTAAAATTAAGTTATATTTATCCCATTTTTTTTTCCTTTTTTACTATTTTTGTACTGAATATTTTTGTTCTGCTTGATCTACTTAACTTTTTTTCTCACTCAAATTTATATACTCTCCTTTTAATCTCTTATTAGTTACCATTGAACTTTCATCAGGCATAGTTAATATCACAAAATCTAATATTAATACCTTTACATCTTAAACAATACTCAAATTTCAGAACATTTTATCTCTGTCTTTCTGCAGATTTACATAGTATAGATTTCCATTATATTAGTTTCTCTCCAGCTCCCAATGCTATAAGTCTCTTCTGCCCCAGCTCAGCTTCTCAACTCTGTGGCCTTGAGTCGTGCCTAGCCTAGCCTACTTTTACTGTGTATTCCTAAACGGATTCCTGAGCTCTCCCATCTCAGATGTTAGCTTCAGAAACCCTAGCCCTGTATTCCTGACTGTGCTCATGTTTATTTCTTTGAGAGCTTTTTTGGAGAACTCTCCTTTCTTTTGTAATATCAACAATACCTCCAAGAGTAAGTTTTTTTTTTTTTTTCCCAGGGTCTAGTTATTATAAGAAGGTGAGTCTCTCAGAGCAATTATGTTTAATGATACATTCTGAATGTCATATTTTTTATTTCAATAATTATTCTGCTCATAATTATGTTATCTAATCATTTTTATATAAACCTATTCTTGTTTCACAACCACTACTCTTATTTAATAATTTAATGTATTTTTAACATATAAACACCAAATTTATTCTTTTCCCTAAAAATTAATTGTTCAATTTTCACTTTGTATAAGAAATTCTTCTAGATGATGTAGAATATAGCATTTAATAAAACAGACAAAATTCTCTGCCTTTATAGATTCAATATTGTAGTGAAAGGAAATAATGGCTAACATTCATAGACTGCTTAATATATGTCAGGCATTGCTCAATAGCAATATTTTCTACATTCTGTAAAAAACAAAAAACTATTTCCATCTTTAGTTATTATCTCCCTGGATAGTGAACATACATGTTTTTAAAAACCCTTTTCAGATTATTCCATTATTTCTATTCCTTCAAGTTTAAATGGTTCCATACATGGATCTTGTTTTGCCTCCTTCAAGTGTTAGATTTCTAGTTGCTTGGTGTCTTGCAGCTCTGTTTTCATTTCCTAAGAAAGAGCTTTTCCTTGTTCATTATGGATTATGATGATCTCCTTAGGAGACCATCTTGTAGCAGCACCAACTCAAATCTTGACAACTTAAAGTTCAAGTTTTAAATGATCCTTAGGGTGTAAACAACTAGATGGTATGTTTCATAAGGTTGCAGATATGCACACTACACACACACACACACACACACACACACACACAGCAGTATAATATTTTTAAACCATTCGCCTCTTTTATCACTTTAGTTTTCTGTTTTTTCCTATTTTGAAATGTGTCTTTCTAATCTATGGAGATATTCTTCTTTGGTTTTCAAACACAAATATGTATTAATTAGGTTACTCTATCTATTTTCTATAATTTCTTTGAGTTTAGTGAAAAAGGATGAGATTTCATTTCATGCTTATTCTGCCATCCTAAATGGAAAGTTCAGTTTAAATTTCACATGTCATTTTCAAACTTCTGGTATAAAATATATTCGTGTATTATCAATAGTTTTTTTAAATTAGAAATTTTCTTTTACCTTTTAGGCATATAGTGACATCGTTTCATCTGCTAATACCTTTCCTTTGGTAGCTGCGAATATGATGTGCAGTTTAACTAGTAAAGCTATTGAAAAACTTCATAATTAACTTTATATCCAAAGAGGAATTATAGCTAAGAACATTTCTAGATTGCTACACTGAGAGAGATGTCACAACTTTGTGGTATAAACATAATTGTCTTTGCTTGGTTGTTGATTCTGCTTATGTTGTTTAAACCCTTGAACACTGACAGTGACATCATTGTAAAATGGACTTTATAAAATAATTCTATGAATGCCTCACATTTTTTTAGTCTTAGATGAATGAGAGATGGCAAAATATTTTATTACAGCTAACATTTGAGTTCTATTAAATGCCAGAAGTATAGAGCATGATTGATCAGGGCCTTCTGTACCAATTATTTTTATGATGGAAAGAAATCCTCTTGGCGTGGGATTCCTCTGAAATAGGATGAATACCATCAACTTCTTCAATGGATTCCTAAACACATGTTTTCATTTCCCTTGCACAGATAATGAAAAGTGTACAGATCCCTGTGGAGCATCACTTGTTATTTTCTGTTTCTTCTTTACCTGAAGATGCCTTTCTAAGAATTCACACTCTAAATAGGAACCTCCAGTTCACTAAGTAGCCGCCTCATAGTTGCACATTATTCCAACTGTGCAAGCAACAGCTGTGAATGAGAGAAATGCATATCATCATAGAGCTTATGGAGCTCAATATGTTAGTTCTGTTTATTCAAAAGACCACCTGTGTTTCTGGGGAAACTGGAGAAGTTCCAAAGGAGAATGAAGACACAGCAGACAGTCATGAAACCTTCAGAGCCGTAAGCAGAAACATCATTGCTTTGGGTTAAACACAATGTGACAGTCCTGTGGGAAACTTGATTTCCAATATCTATAGCACAGCATTTTCGGTTGGAATATTAATTAGCAAATAGATGGCTAAAATGCCCAGCTCTCTCTTCTCACATACAGAAAGGGTATGAAATTATGACTATCACTGTGAGGAGAAAATTGCATTGCTATGTGAAAAGAAATTCTCCTAGTTGTCCATTTTTTAAAGCTATATTTTTCCTTGTTTACTTTAACATTTGTGGAGGTTGTTTTATTGACCCTAAATCCACAAATATTCTGTTTTCTCTTGAATCAATAATCACCCTGTTTCCTCCTGGTTGTTGAGGGAAATTGAGTTACCTTGGGGCTCCTCAGCAAACCCTTCCCATCAAGAATTTCACTGTCGCCTTGATGGGTCCTGACTTAAAGAGAGAATGTGCGAGAGAAAGGTCGAATAATGAATGAATGAATGAATGATGCATTGTGATGTCTGGTGCTCTCATATTACAGGCTGCTGAAAAAGGGAAAAGGCAAAATTTTCCTGACAGGATACCTAAATTGAGCGTAGCCTCAGGGTAGGAAAAATGCAGTTCTCTTTTCTCTTTCCTGGTTGTGTCCATGATGAGATTGAATTTGAGAACTGCGCTGCCATAACAACATCAAGTTGCTCTATATGAACAGTGTTGTTGGCGGGGATCTTTCTCCGTCTTCCTCCTGCCCCATTAAAGGCTCTCTGGCAATATCGAAGGCATCCTGTCGGAACTGTGGCATGCGCCCTGACACAGGCATTGGGCTAACTTTTACCAGGCTGCTTCTTTACATATCCAGAGTGTACCTTAGGATCCCACAAGCAACTCAAGATTACTTTACCTTAGAGAAAACAGCTAATTGAGACAGACCTGATTTAGAGGTGGCTTATTAAAAGTGCCTCCAGAACACACTCTTCATTCTGGTTTGCCCAGCTTTGTTATGAAAGCACAGATATATCATGGGGAAGCAAAACTTTCCACACAATATTATACACTCTCTGCCTGAGTTCTTTGATTCTTTGCACAGTGGTGCACATGTATAGCATTTCTTGCAGAATCCAGGGGCCATTCTTTAGAATGAGGTTGGGTAAATGTGTAGACTATGAAAGGAGATATAAGGTATAAATGTTCTCCTCTAAGAGTCCAGGCTACTCCTCTGCCAAAGCCAGCAAAACACCAAGGTGAAAGAAGATAGCCTTAGTGGGATATTATAATAGAAGGCAGAGGCTGACTGTTCACAAGATTATCATGTAGTGTAGAAATCAAAAGTGTGGAAAAATAATGGTAGCAAGAGATAAAGTTCTTGGTTTTTGAAATGTATCACACGTGTATATTTTTTAATTTTTTCCCCTCTCACCTCCCCCTGAACTTTTAGTATGAAATTCTTGATGCTGCCAGAGACACTATCTACCACACAATGAGTATTTGTGTGGATTGCATTCTGGGCTGGGGCGGCTGAGCAGTCTAGTGTGGCTAGCTAATTGGTAGTGAAAAGGAAATGCCTAGACTTGCCTAGGAGAAATTACCCAGCTGTTCCCCTTGCAGCTGGTCTACCTGAGAGTGGGTTTATGAGCCAAGCTCTGGTGAGGGGTGGCAGCAGTGGTTAAGAGGTCCTGCCAGCGAAGTCCCCCTCAGAAAAGCATTCCACACCTGTGTTTCAGAGAATAAAATATCCTTTGTTAATTTCTCCCTCTCCTGTCTTTGCTAGTGTAACGGTGTGAGTTATTGAAAAATTAATTAGGGTCCTGTCTTTTTGCTGCCCTATACTTCGCAAAAAGAATAAAAAAGGTAATTTTTTCTCCCCTTTAAGCAAGAATAACATAAGAAGAGCTACTCAAAGCCTGGTCCAGGAACCAGCAGCAGCAGCATCTCCTAAAGGCTTGCTAGAAATGTCAGTTCTTAGGCCCTATCTCAGGTCTACTGATTCAGAATCTCTGAGGTGTGGACCAGCAACCTGTGTTTTGATAAATTTTCCAAGTGAGTTTTATGAAGTCTAAGTTTGAGAAGGAATGGGGAGGGAGGAGATAATCTTTCTGGTTATACATCATCCAGATTGTCTCAGAGAGAAGAAGGTAAGAGACAGACAGGCGCCAAAGTAAGAAAGAGGGCTGGAGTCCCCAGCACTTGGAAGGTAGAAGGCAATGTGCTGTGTAGGTGGCAAATGGCATCTATTCCCATGGATTTCCTCTGTAGGTAGCAGGTTTCCATTCCATGGGAATGCCTGGAGATCAATCATCACATGTGTGGCCTTGGGAGTGACAGTGAGGATCCCGGCTGCTGACTTTGACTTGGAAAGCATGGACACTGCCGCTAGAGCCATTCCACCTATCTGAGTGCCATGTGAGCTTGGACAATGAGCATTGCTTGGGGAGACTACCAAGGATAGAAAGCCAGAGGCCTCTCTCCCAGGACTCTTGGACTGTGCCAGCCCAGGGTTTTCAGATAATCCCAGCACAGTAGGGGCCAATCCCTGTAATTGTCCTCATATTGGATTTTCTTCCAATTTTGGCTAGTGGGGAACAAATAAGACTTAGTACAAATTCAAAAATAAATAAAATAGACACAAGTGTATTATAGAAACCACTCCTAGTCATATCAGTAGGAAGAAATATTATTCAAGAAGACACACCAACTATGAGAATGTTTGTTCCCCTCTGCCTTTAGTAAAAGTGAAGAATTCTTATGTCTGATATCCTCTGAGAACTGCTTCTTAGAAGGTGTTTAGTGAATTTATTGGTTAACTACCAGGCAAAGGGAAGACGTATCTTTCCCTTGTTTGTCTCTGTGTGAAAAAATTTTTTGAAATACTTAGGGAGAATATAAGAAAAATAAAATGACACAACTGATTGGTTTAAGGTTGAGCTGCAGAAAACCGTGTGTGGAGTAGTGGAAAGAAAGCAGGAGTGGGAGCCTCGTCTTTGATTCCCACTCTGCCACTTAGTGCTGTGTGACTTCAGGGAGGGTGATTTTATTTTTCTGTGATTTGGCTTAATTTTCTAAGTCTTCATTTCATTAGAGATTTCTGTAGCTCACTCTTTCTTATCATAGAGGTTCTGCCTAGATATCATTTGCTGAGAGTGTCCTTCCCTTCCCTCTCTATTTAAAGTATGTTCCCAAATACCACTCCATCCCCCCTTTTTCCCTTAGCTTTTCTTCTTGGCATTTATCAGAAATTGTGTCATTTATTTATAAATTTGCTTGCTTATAGCTGTTTTCCCCCTAGAAAGTAAGCTCCTTGAGGACAGGAACTCAGTCCATCTTGTTCATACCTTTAAACTGATGTCTAGAGAGTGCTTACCAATGGTAGGACTTCATGCATATTTGTTGAATGAATGAATGAATGAATGAGTGAATAAATCATCTGTAAGAACTTGGGCTTTGGAGTCAGAGAGACCAGTGTTTGATACATGATTCTGACGCTGACCAGTAACAATAACCTGAGACAGGTTACTTTCTCTCTTTCAGCCTGTAAAACAAACTAATAATTAAATAAAATAATGTAGATAAAAGACAACTGATTGTACAGTACTTAAGAAACAGTAATTGAGTGAATGAATGAAGCTTATAAAACTACTTTGAAAGGGAAAAATCTATAGCAATATAAAAAGTTAACATTGATATAATTAATAATAATAAGGCTAAAAGATCCTTCTAAGGGGAGGTTCTAATGCTTATCTCCTATGAATGGACAAACATACCTGGAAGTTTGTGAGAATTGCCCATACCATGTTCATACTGTGAAACAATGAAGAGACACAAACTTTCCCAGCTCTATTTTCTTGTGAAAAGTTTTATTATAACCCATCACACACGGGAGTGAAAAAACCACCTCAAACTCTAGGATGCATGCCAGATGACTTGTGTTTTAATTGTAGTTCTGTTACTAACAAGCCTGGTGATCAGTGACACGCAATAACCTCTGGGTGCCAGTTTTTTCATCTCCAAAATGTGGACATAGGAAGAGATGATCTTGATAGTGTTCCTCGGTTGTAAATATTCTATGAACTTTACTTTCTTAGGGCCTCTCTATAAGGACCTTTGATTTTTGATCACCCGAGCCTTGTTTTAACCATGAGTTTGGACTATCAATGTGACATCAGGCATTTATTTAGCACATCCTATACAAACTCTAGCCCATCAAAGGTCTTCATTCCTTATGCCATGACTTTTATGAAGAGGCCTTATTGAAATTGTAGATTTTAAATATTTAAAGTGCCACGGTTCAGTTTTCAATGTTCCTCATATTGGGAGAACATGAATATATTGAGAATTGTTATGAGGAGAATGAGGAGTTGTCATTTTTTTCTTTTGCTAAATGAAATTTATCTTTATTCCATGTGAGAAAAATTAAAAAAAAATTGTACTGTCAAGAAGTTGTGGGGACTAGGAAGTCAAAGTGAGAGATGCCACCCACATGGGCTTAGAACCAATACTTAAGTTTGTTTCATATGCTTCTGTCCCAAAATCTGAGTATGAATGAAATGAAAAAAACAAAAACAAAAAACAACAAAGAGTGTATATAACAAGTCTTATGCAAATCAGTTTTTAAAAAGAAGAAACTTTAAGAGGAAACACAGATCTCCTTGAGTTGCCATCTGCTTGACTATTCTAAATTCAGAACACAAATCACTCTGCATAAAAAGTGATTTGTGTTTCTGGATGACCAGCAGCTCTTCTGGCAATGGCTGGAGAAAGCCTATGGAGACAAAGTCCAGCTGAGGGCATCCCTGGCCTCTGGCCCTCATAAGCTGCAAGTCTTAGCTCTTGGTTTGGCTGATGTACTCTTCTGAGGGCACAAGGTATACTTTTGAGTCCATAATGGTCTGAAGAGCCTCCATGACTTTAAGGCTAGAGATGAGTTATTCTGCTAAATTGATTTTTCCCCTCATGTCCTCCTGCTGCATGGTTGCCTGAACTATGTAAACTGGTACTTGATTGTACCAGAACAAACTCCCAATATACATACAAAATGTCTGACTTACTATTTAATTGTGTAATCTTTCTCTTCCTACCTACTTCAAAATTTCTTGTATTTCATTTTGTCTTCCCACTTACATCCAAAATTATGATGTATTTTTTTATCCCCCACCAGTATCTTGAGTTTATGATTATAAGAGGTTGTAGAGAAGGGAAACACTTCAGAAACAGGTTGATGAAGTGATTGAATCTATAAAGAACCAGCATAATGTTCCATACCGCATGGTTACCCAATATTAATGTGTACCAAGGAGGACCAAGGTGACAGAGGTCTTTTTAAAAAATGAGATAAGAGACTCAGTAGAGCATTTTAATGCGGCCTCATCTCACTCATCCTCAATTATTAGGACTACATTCACTACTGTTTTTAAAAATGTGCATGCAAATGGAATCATTAGTCTATAATTAATGCTGCTTGTCCCTGGGAGCTCTGCCGTGGCCTCTGGATGATGTGAAGGACGCTGCCTGTGCTGGCTGGCCTGCATTCTCACTACTGTTATTTACTGTGTGTGGTGGGTATGGGCATTACATGGGCTTCTGTTCCCTGCCATGCTTCGGTGCTCCCTTCCAATGAGCAGGCAATAAAGTCAAATTTAAAGGAATTCCACTCTTCCAAAGAGGTCAAAACAAGCACTCAGAAAACATTTTATATTTTTCTTGTGCATATCAGATGCCTTGCTAAGTGCCTTTCTGTGTAGGATTGAATCAGGGCTGTAGTCCATTTGGGGGAAAAAAGTGTCCAACCACAAACAAAGGCGCAAAGTTGTTAGCATATGATTTTGCATATGATTTGCATGTTAATGGTCCAATGTCAAAACATACAGTCATCTACCTGTCCCTGTTCCTTCCCTTCTATTGTCAAGATTGGCTGATTAGTCTTATTAAAATTAACTCTTAGGCTTCTACCAGCCTCAACTGCAACAAAATGAAAAGCTGTTACAATGACACGTGATGTAAATTGTTCAGATTCTACTGGAAGATCCCTTATGTTGATGGTAAAAAGCTAAAGTGAAGAAGTCAGTTGCATGAATTAAAATTTCAATTTGTGAGATGAGATACTGATGGTTGTTACTCTTATTCCTCAAGCCCAGAGAACTTTTCCTTCTTCTCATTGCCATAAAGCTCCAAAAAATTATTCGAATGTTCTGTCAATTATCCCTTTCAAATAGACTTATTTTTAAACAAGCAAACAAAAAGTCTAAGGTCATATGCATAAGAGGTACTCATGTTTCTATAAAATTAAATATTTTGTATATTTAGGAATGAAAAGAAATGAAATGAAACACATGTCAAGTAGAAAATTTTGATGAAAAACATATTTGTCCAAGGATGACATCTTAGATAACATTTTGGTTGGTGCAATGAAGGTGTGTAATGGAAGGTATTTTCCCCAAATTAGTAGCAGAGAGAGACACTAAATTTGGAAACACCTGCTAATAAGGGTGAGATGTTTGATTTCAGAGTCCGGTTAATTCAGAAGTGATTCTAGCTCTCTGGCCTAGTTAGATCTGTTATGTACACACACACACACACACACACACATACACGTTCTTGATAATTTAAATAATTGTATTAGGAATAATGTCAATGTTTTATATTATTGCTAAAAGATGTAAAATTATTGCCAAGATGATAGATACTATGCAAGAATACAAAGAGATATAATAAAATCTCTCTCCTCAATTCAACTAAGGTCTGGCTGAGAAGACAAGTCAGACTCACATAAAAATGTAGCTAAAATTTTACAGCTCATAAAGGCATAAGAGTCAGAGGAAGTAAGTTATGGTGTCAGAAAAAGTTCTTCACAAATCTCAGGAAACAGCAAAGCCAATTATAATATCATTCATTTGTGCATTATCTCAGTTAATATTTATTGATGGCCTATGTGTTAGGCATTATGTCTGGGGCCAGAAATAAAGTAGTAAGTGGGACACAGTTTCTGTTTCCTGATTCAATAGTAACTAATAAATACTTTAGCATGTATAGTATGGTGGGATTTGTTAAACTTTTTTTTGTTTTTTTATTTAATTTTTTAATCAAGACAACCTTTAGATGATGGTATTTATTATTCCTATGAAATATTCTCAGGGAGATAAGTGGGTTTTCTAAGTCCCATAAAAATCAGGTGGCTGAGGTTGGACTTGAACTCTGGTCTTTCAATTTCAGGTCTACTAGCATCTCCAATACACCAGAACAGATAGAGCAATATAACTGGAGTGAGGGTTACATGTATAGGGGAAAAGAAAAAACATCTGAAACATTTAGCAAGGCTAAGACTGTGCAAGCTCTTAAAGGCTAGGCTAAGAAGGAACTTAAAACAAATTTACAAGAAAAAACAACCCCATTAAAAAGCATGAAAAGGATATGAACAGACATTTTTCAAAAGAAGACATGTATGCAGCCCACGAACATATGGAAAAAAAAGCTTACCATCACTTATCATTAGAGAAATGCAAATCAAAACCACAATGAGATACCATCTCACACCAGTCAGAATGGCAATTTTTAAAAGGTCAAGAAAGAACATATACTGGTGAGGTTGTGAAGAAATAGGAATGCTTTTACACTGGGAGTGTAAATTAGTTCAACCATTGTGGAACACAGTGTGGCGATTCCTCAAAGATTTAGAACCAGAAATACCATTTGACCCAGCAATCCTTCAGATGGTCCTCCAGACCATCTTATTCCCTACTTTAAAATAAGGAAGCAACCATCCTACCTATCTCATGAACACCCCGTTGTGGCTGACATCTTACGTGGGGCAGTCTTGTAGGACTGAGCCTTGACCCATTTTGAATTGAATTGAATTGAATTGAATTGAATTGAATTGAATTGAATTGAATTGCTGGCCACCATGTGGTATGGAATAACCAACAAATTGATTGATGTTGGAAAAGATGCTACTTATTTAGTGTTAGGAGGAAAAATCCTCTCAGTGTTTCTGGAGGATGCTGAGTTGATCTGTAGTATTTATCGGTCCCGGAAACTCACCATTCTCCACTTTGTCCTGACCATCCCCCAAATCAACTTCCTAAATATGGAAGTGATTATGGCTCTGGGCCATGAATGCCACTTTCCTGTATCCATAAGTCAGCAATATAAAATTCTGTAGAGAATTATCATAGAATGGTGATTAGGAGGTCACCAATAATCTTTGAAAATAACGTTTCAGTAAAATGTGTGATGGCAGAAACCAGTTCTGAGTATAAGAAATGATACTATAGTTTGAGAGCATAGAGGCCAAGTAGACAGACCACTTTGAAAACTGTTGATGGAAAAGAAAGGAGCTAGATGACCAAAACAATCTACAGGCATCCTTGATGCACCTGACTGTTATTTGGATATCCTCTGCAGGGAGCCTGTGTTGGTTAAGATTGTGAACTTGACTGGGTTAAGATTACCTCAGTGGCTGGTGAAGCATTGTTCCTGGGTATATCTGTGAGGCTGCTGCCAGAGGAGAACAAAGCAGGTGGAAGAAGGGGGATAAGTAGCTCTCTTGCTGAGCTAGCTCTCTCTGTCTTTGTCATGCTGTGCTGGATACTTGGCTTCCTCTCCTGCCCTTGGACATCAGATTCCAGGTTCTTCAGCCTTTGGACTCTGGAACTTCCACCAGCAGCCTCCCAGGGGCTCTTAGGCCTTTGGACTCAGACTTTGGATTGTTGGCTTTGCTGGTTTTGAGGCTTTTGGATTTGGACTGAGCCACACTACTGGCTTCTCTCTTTCCCCAGATTGCAGACAGCCTATTGTGGGACTTTGCCTTGTAATCGTGTAAGCTAATTCTCTCTGATGAACTCATATATATATATATTAGTTTAACCCAACCCAGGATGGTCTGGAGGAAAAGGATATATATATATATATATATATGTATATATATATGTGTGTATGTATATGTATATGTGTGTATATATGTGTTTATGTGTATATATGTGTGTATGTGTGTGTATATATATATATATATTTATGAGTTTATCAGAGATAATACACACACATATATATATAGTCCTCTTGGTTCTGTCCCTTTGGAGAATTCTGTATTCATCCATTCTCACATTGCTCTAAAGCACTGCCCAAGACTTGCTAATTTATAAAGAAAAGAGGTTTAATTGACTCACAGTTCCACATGGCTAGGGAGACTTCAGGAAACTTACAATCATGGTGGAAGACAAAGGGGAAGCAAGGCACGTCTTACATGGCAGCAGGAGAGAGAAAGCAAGCAAGGGGGCAGCTGTCAAAACACTTTTAAACCATCAGATCTCGTGAGAACTCACTCATTATCAAAGAACAACATGGGGAAACTGCCCCCATGCCAATCACTTCCCATGAGGTTCCTCCCTTGACACATGGGATTACAATTTGAGATGAGATTTGGGTGGGGATACAGAGCCAAACCATATCACCTGCCTAATACAAAGCCCTATAATTCCACCTCCAATATGTGGCCAGGAGCTGTATTGTGTATCTGATTGTTTTAAGATAAATGGGCTCAGCATGGGAGACAAAATTAGAGAGTGTAGTAGGCATGGAGAAAACCATCAACACGTGTCAAAGAAGAAAAGAGAAAAGAAAGATTTGTAAGTTTGTAAAATGGCAAACTTAACATTCAACTCCCAAGATTTATGGAGATTTGGGCAGGTCCATAGGGATCACCCAGTTAAACCTGTTCAATTTACGTCTGCAAAGGTGAAGTGACTTTTCTGGGTCTTATGACTAGATAGTAGTAGGACTGAAACTAGAGCTCTGGGACCTCACTCCCCTAAATATTTCCTTCCTTTCATCCCTACTTCCTTCCTGATTTTGTATGTGCCCTTGTGGTTCATGAATACTGTGAATACTGACCATCCCTCATAAGCTTTTTATCTCTGTGTGTTTGATCAAGATATGCCCTTTGCTGGTTCTCCTCTTTTCTCTTACCTCTCTGTGTTAAGTTCTATCTTTCCTTTGAGGTTTATTTAAAATATTATGTCTTCCATGAAGACTTTCCAGAGCACCCTTTCTAGAAGTTTTCTCTCCCACTGAGCTGTGAAAACACATGACTTATTTTTGCATTGTTCTAATGTATGTACTAGTCTGAAGATCTGGCCAGATTATGAATGCCACTAGAAGGAAATATGCCTTAT
Source organism: Homo sapiens (assembly GCF_000001405.40). NCBI lineage: Eukaryota > Metazoa > Chordata > Mammalia > Primates > Hominidae > Homo > Homo sapiens. The sequence continues at coordinate 19,561,166 of NC_000006.12, read as the reverse complement.
ATGTATTTGCTTTCTCCAAGGACCCATTGCTTCTTTCCATATGGTCCATATCTTCTCCTTAATGATGGGGAGGGGCATTTATGGTCAAATTGAATTATGTTAGCACCAGCTGACTAGAGTGGCCTCTTTTTCCTTTATACTAGTCTTCTTGAACCATTGTGCACAGAGATCCATGGTACAGAAAGTAAAGTACAGTGGGTAAGGATAATAGGAAGTGAGGAGAAAATACCAATATTTTGGGTGAACTGAGGACTGAAGTTAATTTAAGCCCAATTAGTAGAGTTTTTCTCTAGAGGAAAAAAGTATAGAGGACTATACTTAAGCTAATACACTTCTCAAAACAGTCACTCCTGATGTAGAAAGGCTGTTTTTCATGCAGAACACATTTTATTGACTCCTTTTTTTTTTTTTTTTTTTTTTTGAGACAGAGTCTCACTCTGTCATCCAGGCTGAAGTGCAGTGGCATGATCTTCGCTCACTGCAACCTCCACCTCCTGGGTTCAAGCAATTCTCCTGCCTCAGCTTCCTGAGTAGCTGGGACTACAGGGATGTGCCACCATGCCTGGCCAACTTTTTTGTATTTTTAGTAAAGACAGGGTTTCACCATGTGGGCCAGGCTGGTCTCGAACTCCTGACCTCAAATGATGCATCCGCCTTGGCCTCCCAAAGTGCTGGGATTACAGGCGTGAGCCACTGCACTGGGCCTATTGGCTCTTTTGTGGGCTGTGTTAATACATTTAATAGAGAACTGGATCAGGACTGAAGAAGATCAGTAAGTTTGATTCGCAGGGGTGTGTCCCAAGACTAGAAAAAACCTTTTTCAGAAGAAGAAGAGAATTACTAATCTGATAAAGTGTCAGGTGGGCAGTGAAGTTTGTCTCGCCACCTATCCCGTGTCACCCCCCAAATTACTTTTTCTCACTTGATTATTAATACTAGAAATAGTATTAAAAAGTCATAATTGTTTCTAAAGGCCTAAATTTTACATATAAAATTTTGGAGGAAGATTACATTAAATACCCCTAGGAGAGATAATACGTTGACTTAAATTTAAGCCAATTTACAGTAGAAGGTAAGAGAAGATGAAAAAGAGCTCTATGACATTCAGAGGTGGTGAGGGAGGAAGAAGTGGCATGAAAAAAATATAGCATAGGTGGTGGGGATGAAGGGAACTTCATGCAATTGAAAACTTTACCCTTCTTAATGACACATGCCAAGGAGGAAGTAATAATTCTAGGTCACCAACTTTCAGTTTCAACAAGTTTATTATATAAGGTAAATAAACATGATTCACAGAAATTATCTTTTTGGGAAACCCAGCCTGATTCCTTCGCAACCACTTATTCCCAAGCTTTGAAAGTTTCTCTCAATATATGGGTCAGGTCTTTAAAATATAACTGCATTTCCAACCATGAGTGAAAACATATTTTTCTTTTCTTTTTTGAGACAGAGTCTGGCTCTGTTGCCCAGGCCGAAGTGCAGTGGCATGATCACAGCCCACTGCAGCCTCAACCTTCTGGCTCAAATGATCCTCCCTCCTCAGCCTCCTGCGTAGCTGGGACCACAGGTGCATGCCACCAGGCCTGGCAATATTTTAAATTTTTTGTAGAGATGGGATCTCCCTGTGTCACCCAGTTCCTTGAACTGCTGGGCTCAAGGAAGCCTTTTGCTTCAGCCTCCCAAAATGCTGGGATTACAGGCATGAGTCACTACACTGGCCCAATTTTCTTTTCTTTGACTGAATCTCTGAATTTTCTGACTAAGTCATTTAAAATTAATACAATAGGTAAACCCTTAAAGATGGAAGTAAGAAATACTTTCTTTTTTCCAGAGTTAATAATGGACTTAAAAAATCTTGATTTAAATCTGAAGACAATGTAGATATTCAAGGGCTCAAAAGGTAAGAAAGACATGTTAGTCTCACATCCTTTACTCCATATTCAATTGTCTCATTAAAATGCCTTGCTAATGTGAACATTATTTCAAAGTTCAGCCACCTCCACACACTATGAAGCAGCTGTACAAAGGTCAGGTACAGGAGGGCAATGTGAAAAGAAACAGAAAACCATGCCATAGCTCTTAGAACTTCCAGCCATTCACGATCACAACTTTCATGGCATGATGAAATTTCTCGATAGATACTGCCACCAACTTTTTAGAAAACCACCATGAAATGACATTCTCTCTGACTTGATAAGCTCAAGCAGTTTTCCAGGAAGATCCCCTATATTAAATGTTTGAGCAACAGTTACTAAAGAAAAAAGATATAAAATAGAAAAACCTTACTCTCAAGAGCAAGCTTCTGTTTTTTCCTAAAGTGTTGCTTCAAACTTCTGTTTCTTTTATTTCCTTTTCTTCATGAAAGTATTCTTAGGGACATTTTGAATTGCTGTTGTGTAGTTTTGGTGTTTTTTTTTTTTATTAAATTAGGGCCTTCTATTACTTTTTCTGACTGAGCTTTGCATATTTTGTCTGCACCCTTGCAAAGAACTGCTTTGAAGAGCGTAGTCTTGGGACTTCCTCCCCTTCTCTGCCTCCTGCCAGACACATTTGAGTCATTCCATCTTTAAACCTGCCCTCCAACTGAGTCTTCCAGGATAGGACTTATTTCCACCTCCGACTTCACATTCCTCTTCAGTAGTTGACTGTGACTGGGAAAATAGGCGTACAAAGCATTTTGCATTCTCTGGATGTACCACACAGTAATTCTGCTGTCTGAAAACTCTGTAATGTCAATAATTGATGCACTTGAGAAGTGGTAATTAAATTAGTTAATTATGCTGGTAAAATTACATGCAATTATGTGACTGCAGGGTATGTTTAGTAAATTAGGCTTTCCCATACTCACTACATATTGTGGTGCCAATTTTGTTCCTTGATGATTAGGTAGCTTTTGATACTTCTTAATTGATTTAATACCTGGATCTTCATTAGCCCTTGATTGCTATGCTATGTATGTCTGACATTTTTTCTCTGTGATATTTTACTGAGATCGTGCATCAGGGAAAATATATGTACATGTTTGCGAATGATATATACGTCTATGTGAATCAACTCACTTATTTTTTTGTTTCAAATACTTAGATGTTAAAATATCACCCCCCCTCCCACCTTCTGGGAAATAGCTAATCCTAAATGTTGACTCAGATAGAATCCAAGAACTTCAGTCTTCTTGGACACTCCAAAAAAGAAAAGTGCCATGTTTATTTTGTTTCTGAAAAATTAATACCAATAGTACTGGGCAGTAATTGAAGGAAGCAAAAAAATCAAACATTTTAGGAAAGTTAATCATTTCACCGCTTTAAATAAGAGGCGATAATCTTTAAATAAGATCCTTATCGATGAGAGTTAATTACAAGTTTATAAATGACAGAAATTGAAAATCTGTCATATTATTCATAGAGATTTATAGTCCTTTATGGGCTTCTCGTAAGCATTAGAAAGCCCTCATGGGTCAATGAGACTAGTAGGAGAAACCATGACTCCTATGGGTGGAGCTTGTGGATGGAATTTCTTGGTTCAAGATTTAGAATCCAGAACTGGAAGGAAGCCTGGGAATTCCTTGGTCTATTCCCTTTATGTAATAGATGAAGAAATGAAGTTCCCATCGAATGTTTTATAAATAGATGTTTTCACAGCAAAGCAGTGACTAGGTTGGGTCTGGAATTTAAATCTTCTGCCCCTGTGGCCAGTAGCAATATACTATACAATATTACGGCTGTTTTCTATTTTGTCCATTTCCTCTCAGTTACCCACTGTAAACCTCTGAGTGACTTTTACTCATAGAGGGACTAGACATATTTTCAAAAGGCTCATTCTTTGACTCTAAACTGAGTGTCAGGAGGCAACTTGAGTTACTTAGAAGAAAGCGTATCAACCATAATCATCTGCATTCAAGAACTTGAAACTTAGTCTTGTTTGTTGTTTCCTGAGAAGCCAGAGCAATAGTCAGCATCTGCAACTTTTCCTGTATTGTATATCCCACTCTTTTTTTTTTTTTTTCTGAGACGGAGCCTTGCTCTGTCACCCAGGCTGGAGTGCAGTGGCGTGATCTCGGCTCACTGCAAGCTCCGCCTCCCGGGTTCACGCCATTGTCCTGACTCAGCCTCCTGAGTAGCTGGGACTACAGGCGCCCGCCACCAGTCTAATTTTTTGTATTTTGTTTAGTAGAGACGGGGTTTCACCGTGTTAGCCAGGATGGTCTCGATTTCCTGACCTCGTGATCCACCCGCGTCGGTCTCCCAAAGTGCTGGGATTACAGGCGTGAGCCACCGCGCCCGGCCTGTATATCCCACTCTTAATGTGAACAATGATGCATTCTGGCAAGGAGGAGGTTTCTGGAGAGGAAAATAGCCTTGCCGGTGTTGGGATAAATGGGAGAGGTTGGCCACTGTGTGGGGCTCTGTCCTTCCTCTGAAGTCAGGGAAATGGACAACCAGAGACCCTTCCTCCTGCAAAGCCTCTACTGGGGCTATGATTTCATAATCTTTAGAAAACTACACCTCTGAAATGGATAAGCAAAGAACACTCTGCACATTTATTGCAGGTTTTTCTGTTGGTTTTTGTGTTTGTGTTTTGATTTGCAGGTAGATAAAAAAGAATACCAGAGGTAAAATGATAATCATAACGTTCAGTTATACAATGCTGTACACTTTCCTAAGTATTTTCACATCCTTTATCTTTGTTGGTTTTTACATCCACTCTGGTGACAGAGAACAAGAATTATTCCCTTTTCATAGATTCTTTTTTAATCTGACCCAGAGATTTTGCAACATTTGAATAGTGAACAGTGCAGAATTATTCAACCTGTTAAGTAAAGACAAGTGATATCTAGTTCTTCTTGTGCCTTATGTATTCAAATTTTTAACAAAAACTGTCTTTCATCTTCTCCAGGAAGTTTTTTCTAAGTCCCTCTGGGATGGAGTAAGCGCTCTCTTAATACCTGTCTATATCCCAATCACTGCATTTGTTCTTTGCTTTATGTTTGGTCACATAATCACATGTGACATTAGATAATGAAATCCTTGATGGGAGATGTTCTGAATGATTTCTTTCCTATTATTAAACATTAGTTCAGCGACTGACATCTGGTAGATGCCCAGTCCCTAGTTGCTGAATGAATGAATGAGTATATATTGGCCTAGAAAATCAACATTCTTCTATCGTCAGGTAAGATTTAAACTCCAGTTATTTCTAGGCTTTCTTCCTAATATAGGTGCACATATCTATCATTAGGACTATCCAAAGTGTTTTTGTTGTACTTATTATTACCACATGCTCTAGACATTTGAGTGAATTTTCTGTTATTTATGTATTTATTTGTTGTTGTTGTTTTTTGAGATGGAGTCTCGCTCTGTCACCAGGCTGGAGTGCAGTGGTATGATCTCAGCTCACTGCAACCTCCACCTCCTGGGTTCAAGCGATTCTCCTGCCTCAGCCTCCCAAGTAGCTGGGATTACAAGCACATGCCACCATGCCCAGCTAATTTTTGTATTTTTATTAGAGACGGGGTTTCACCATGTAGGCCAAGCTGGTCTTGAACTCCTGACCTCAGGTGATCCGCCCACCTCGGCCTCCCGAAGTGCTGGGATTACAGGTGTGAGCTACCGCGCCTAGCTTATTTTTTTAAAAAAAGCTAATCCATAATTGAATATGAACTAAAAATGTTCTTGGTCATTAGGTTGAATATTTTTATTGTATTAATTTCCAATTGATTTTTCCTCCTTTGGTTCTATTCGCTGCAGTGGTGTATGACTTTAAATGTAATTATAAAACATCCTTCAGTCTCACATAAAGCATTAGTTTAAAACACCGGTTGTATTTAAATGTCTTTTCTCATGTCTTGTAAGAATAACTTATGTGGATAGGTTTTAATATTTTTCATATAAATTTGTAAGCAAAGAGCTGGAAAACAAGTCAAGCAAAGACATCTTTGCTAAATCTTACAGATAGTGTAATGACCGACGAACAGAGGGAGGAATCATGGGGAACAAAGGAGAACACTGGGGAATTAGAGGAGGCTCTAGCGGAGTATTGATGGAAACCCTGCTGCTGCCCATTAGCCCTGCCAAGAAGCAGGCAATAACACCACCTGTCTGCTTGGCAGCCACAGGTACCTACACATGGTTCATGTTTTTCTCCTCTCCAGATTTCAAGATTTAGATTGGAGACCCAACTAGTTAAATCAACAGGTGAGATAAAATGTTGTGAAGCAGAAAACCACTCTCAGCCTTGGCGTATGGGGAAAGGGAGAGGCAACCTGGAGCTCTCTTCAGACACATCTGAGAGTTTTGTAAGGGCTTCTTGTCTAAACCCTTTCCTTGGCCTCTGGGCTTCGGCAAAGCCAGCAAGCTATCCTGTAAGCTGGCGTGATGCCACTGTAACAGATGGCCAGGAGCGTAGGCAGCAAAAAAACCATGCGGGAGCATCACAAGGGAGTGCTGAGGGCGAGAGCTCTAGGCACAAGCCTGGAGTCTGTCTGTCCATTAGCCAATGCTGAGCTCCTGAGCAAAGTGGGCATAGGGAATGTTTCAGCCTGCATCTTTGGCTGTTATGTACTTTAGGCAGAAGTGCCAGCCTTGCCTTACATGTGTTTTACTGTTAGGATTTCCACTCCACCTCTGATGTGTGTGGGTGTGTGGGTGTGTGGGATATCTCAAGAGGGTGATGACAAAGATAGGAATATTCTAAATAAAACTATTAGTGTTTCTAGTTTGCTCATTTGGTCCCATTCATTCTGCATAGTCCTACTAAATTCATCTTCTAAGGCACAGCTTTGATTCTATCTCCTCTTCCCCTAAACTTCTGATTATCGTGATGATGATGATGAAGATGATGGCATTGATTATGATAGTGGAGTGGCTTCTCTTTGTTAACTACTTATTATGCGTAATTTCTTACTTCATAGACAACCAGAACTCAGAAACCAACTTCCTACAAAGGCCCCATGACTAATCCATGTCAGAACTGAGATCTGAATTTATTATATCTGACTCTAGAAAAAGCCTTAACAAATATGCTCTATATTTGCAAATATAAGCAAATTTATTTGCCAGAGATTCTTGGTTGTCATCAATAAACAATTTGAAAAAGTAAAATCTTTCAATTTAACTAAAAGTTTAGTTTAACGAAAAGTTTATTATTTTAGTTTTGTGATGTTTCTCTGTAATTTCTTTTTTTCTTTTTTGAGACGGAGTTTCACTCCCCGTCGTCCAAGCTGGAGTGCAGTGGCGCGATCCCCAGTAGCTGGGATTACAGACGTGCGCCGCCAAGCCCAGCTAATTTTTGTATCTTTAGTAGAGATGGGCTTTTGCTATGTTGGCCAGGCTGGTCTCAAACTCCTGACCTCAAATGATCTGCCCACCTCGGCCTCCCAAAGTGCTGGGATAACAGGCGTGAGCCACCATGCCCAGCCTCTCTGTCATTTCTTAAGACAATATTTGTTCTGAGAAACTAGATTCAAGTTAATGAGGACCAGGATAAACCATATGTCTTAACAAAAGTACTAGATTGACCCTCTGTATTGTGGTAGAGTAGCTCATTGTAAAGGACACATTTCTTATCTATTTTTAGAAACTGGCAGAGTTTCAAATGACATTTCTATTTTTATAAACTTATCTGTGACTTCATGTCTGAAATCAATACATATGAAGGAAGAAAGATCATTTCATTTGTTCTTTCTAGACGCTAAGGCTTCAGCATTTATCTTTCCCACAATTGAAACTCTCATGTAAAGGTACTAACAATACTAATCTTTCTTATTTTTAACCTGAATCTTTTCTAGCATTTTCTCATCTCCAGAAAAGAAAGAAAATGTCTTCATATACTTGAAGATAGTTATTCTCTCTGTATCAGTTAGCTACTGCTGCATAACAAATAATCATAAAAATCTCAGTAAGTAAAAAAACATAAGCATTTATTCTTACAGATATGAGGTAGGCTGAGGTTCAGCTGACTGCAGCTGTCTAGGCTGGTATAGGTTCACATGAGCTCTCACTCTCCAGCTGGGGTCAGTTTATTACTATTTCCACAAAATTGCAAGTCTCAGCTTTTGCATCTACTCAAAGTCTGTTGTTAAGAATATTTTGAAGATGGTATTTTCCTCTTCCAGGGCCATGTGATAAAATCCTTTTCCAGGAAGAAATTATCATCACAGAAATTTGCTCATCTCAGTATATAAGGCCCTTCTGCTCTAGCTCTCTAGCATCTAAATGCTCTGTGTTCTACCCAGCCATGTATAAAATATGTTCCTTTGATGTGAAGAATAACTTCCTGATTGGGATTGAGCTGAAATGGGGCCCTCCTTTGGGCAGAAACATAAGTGACATCATAATTCCTGCGAAACATTTACATCTTCCCAGCCTGCATCACCTGAAAATTTTGCTTTGTAATCAATTTTATACCTACTGTCATTTGGGCTTGAATTCCTCTTTATTAAGGATTAGATAAGACGTTGGTGAGGGGCTGGGAGGAGAGAGAGAGAGACAGCATGTGCATGAGTCTTTTGTATGTGTATGTACCTATGCATGTGTATGATTAAGCAGAACATATTTATTTTATAATTAAGCATAATCTTTATTCCTTTAATAGCAGTGCTATTAAGTGCATCTGACGTCCATCAGCAAGTATGAAATATTAATTTGTAAATGTTTCATTTGTAAATGACCCTCTCCCACACATGCCAAGGATCAGTACTTAAATTTCATCGACTGTATTTTTAAAATTTCCAATCTGAGGACCTGTGAGAAAAGTTACAATTTAAGATCTTTGCTCACATCTTATTTTCATGTTAACCAGGCAGAACAGGCTGATTCAGATGTTTGGAAGCATCAGAGTACTTAATCTGTTACCACTGCTTTGCATCCTATCATGTTCTAGACTTCTTAGGAGCAATCTTTATTTATTTTTGGAGCTCACAGATTGCATTTGAACGAGTCAGGAATATTTTCCAGCTTATTTTAGTTAACTTACTCATATTTTGCCCAAGTGGAGAAAAAATACACTGTTTTCCAAAGAGTTAGTATTAGTGCCATTCTAGTGATAGAATATTATTTTACTTGATTACTCCGAAGACAAAAGAAATTCTCAAACTTGTCTGGTTTCATACATGCACATGAAGGTGTAGACCTGCCCAAATAGCACATTTCTCTTCATTAGATAAATCAAGTCGAAGTTCTCACTGAAATCTTGTGTTTTAATTTTACTTCCCACACCTAAATACTTAGTGTTTTTAAGTAATCCTTATTCCTTGAGCTCATGAGTAAACCCACAAGCATTACTTCACCTTTAAGAGCTACTCGAGTGATAAATATCCATGTTTGACTCAAAGCATGCACTCCCAGTGATGATGGGACTAGTTGCCTGGTTATTTGTGGTTATTTTTGTAGCACCTGTGGATTCCAAGATTGGTCATTTGTTTCATCAGAAGTATGTGTCATACATTTTTATTAATTCACTGAACACAGGTGTTTCCTGATTATCTACTTGATTAAGTATACGTAGCTAGCGACCAAATTAAAACAGAACAAATAGGACCTTCCATGCTTACTTCCCTTCCCATATCCATTTTCATTATCATATAATGTGAAGCTCAATGGCCACTGTCTTGTTTTAATTTGGTAGAACCTAAAATCACTCCAGACTCTTCTCAGTGCCAAGCACAATGCCTGTTGTTTGTTGAATGAATACATGAATGTATGACTGAATGTATGCATGTATTTATGAATTCTTTTAATATAAACAGTCACCACTAATGCCAGGACCATGGATAAACAATCCATGGATAAACTTTTATTTTTACTCTTATTTTAATCTTCACTTGCAGATATTATTCTTGAGCATTCAGAGACTGTCGGAAGCAGCATGCAGCAGGGAGGAATAGAGATAAGGACTCTAACAAGGGCCAAATCTTTCTGCCCATTAATCAAACTCATAATTCCCATTGAGACAGGTAAAACAATGAATAGCACTAAGGAAAAAATTACTTTATATCATGAGCATATTTAAAAGCTAAAATCAGTGACTGGTGTCCCAGGGCACAGCAGAGATACTTCTAAAAGGCAAAGAAGTTTGAAGACTCTCATTAAGGAGATGTCGCCTGCATGCACAGATAAAACAGGAAAGAAAAATGTATCTAAAGTTCCAAGGAAATGTAGACCATATTCTTCCTCCCACTCTATTTCACTGAATGATTCTCTAAGTTACAATATGAATAAAATGGAGCTTGAAATAGACAAAATGGGACTAAAGCTTTTTTTTTCCATGTAATATCTTAATGGAATTCCTACACCCTACCTTCTGCCCAAGATTATTTGGCTTTTCTATATACTTAGGAAGGAAAATTTTAAGTTTGTAGTTAATGTCACTTTCAATAAGTACCACCACTGTGTTTCTAGATACCCCATGTTTAGGGTATTCAGGGGATATATTTATTTGGTCATGCCTTACCCATTTAGATTGGGTACCATTTGTACTTGCAAGCTTTAATGGAAATGATAGCTAAAACGTGAATGAATGCCTCCTCTGTGGGTAAAACTAAGCCTAGATGCCAACAGCTATAGCAGTTAAATATGCGCCAATTTTCATAAAAAGAGCAGCCATAGGCAATGAAGGCTGGGCAGAATGCACAGAAACAGAAAAAGCCTCCATGAGTTGCCTTCTCTACAGTCTGCCTTCTCTACAGTCTGCATGCCTGCCTAACCCTTTACTAATGCTCTCCTTCACCCCATAAAGAGATGCACACACCCCTGTGCACATCCTGTGGCCAAAATTAGAGCAGAATTTCTCTTTTTCTCTCCTTTCCTCCTGTAGCAAAGAAATGTCAACTCTGTTTTCTTAAAAGCATATTTTTGAAAAATCATGCCCCACTATTTGGAATTCTCCGAATGACTGTATTTCAGATTCCAGAGAAGAGCGATTCCTACAATGATTTGCATTTAAGCATGAAGGGTGACAGCCAAATGGCTCATGTGCCCAGTTAGCCATGTTAACTTCTAGTTTTTAAGTCTCCTAAAAGTGCAACACATTAAAAACTAAAACTAAGATCAAACAAAAACAAACAAAAAACAGGATTCTCTATCATCTAATGCACAGATTTAAAAGCTTCCTGAACTGTCCTGACTTGGCCATTCTCATGAGGAGATTATATAAGGGGGTAGAAGCCCCTTGTATTTTAGAATTTGCAACTTGATAAGCTTTATCTCTAAGACAATGCAGGGTGACTTCTAAGCAAAATGTAGTCACTCATTTCTTTCATTGATTCAGTGAGCAAGTGCCAGGTCCTGTGTTGGCTTGTAAAGAGTGCAGAACAAATTAAGACAGAGGCTTGTTCTTCAAGGAGTTCATGGTATAGTGAGGGAAATGGATACAAACATATAAAATTGAAATTATATATTTATATATAAATACGTTATTGAAAATGAGTTGTGGAAAGACAAAAGTAGGGTCAAGTAATTCAACCTGGAGTTGTTAAAAAGGCTTCACAGATGAGCTGAGTCCTGAAGGATAAATGGTGACTTACCCAAGCAAAGATAAGAGTATGTGGAAAGACATATAGTGTGGCTGGCAACAAATTCACTAGGACTGACATATAGGGTAGAGGAGACTAGATTTGCACTATCCAATAAGGTAGTCAATACAACATGTGGCTATTTAAATTTAAGGACTGATCACATTTCAAGCGTTCAATAGCTACATGTGGCTAGTGGCTACTGTGTTGGACGGTGAAGACATAGAATCTGTCCATCATAACAGCGAGTTCCATTGGGTGGTGCTAGTGTAAAAATCAGGCAAGAAGTCAGGGTTGGATATAGATTGGGCATAATGAACACAGAGATGTAGTTGAAACTGTGAGTGTAGCTTTATTCAGAGAGCAAAAAATGAGGAGAGAAGAGGGAGCCCTCTGGTGTACATCACCATTTAAGAGGATGGGGGAGTAGATGGTATTAACAAATGAGCCCAATAGGAATGGCATGAAGAATGGACAGCAGAGAAAGTAGCAAGGTGATGTTTGCGGACATCTGCAATTGTTAATGATGTCCAATACTGTAGAAAACCTCATGAAAACCAAAGCTTTATAACGAAAAATTAGGAAGACATCAGTGCTATTAGTGAAAATTGGTTAAGTGGCATTGTGTGTGTGTGTGTGTGTGTGTGTGTGTGTTTTGGAGTGGATGTGGCTAGAGGATAGGTTGAAGTATGAAGTGGATTGAATGGTGGCCCCAAAGATACAGCCTTGTGACAACCAATGGAAGTTGACAAGAGGCAAGGAACAATTTTCCCCTTAAACCTCCAAAAGGAGCATGGCCCTATCAACACCCTGATTTCTGACTTCTGACTTCCAGAACTGTGAGAGAAGAAACTTCTATTGTTTTATGTTGCCCAGTTTGTGCTAATTTTTTACAGCTACTATTGGAAGCTAATACAAAGGGTATTTAGGAGATAATGAGGAGTAAAGAATGGAGAAAGTTTTGACAAATAGCTACAAACTCACATGTTCTCAAGGGACAGGCAGATAAAGTAAATAGCTGAAAATGAAAGTGGGAGGGGTAAAAACTGTGGAGAATTTGAGATTACATGTCCAGCCTACCAAATCAACACACAGATTATATTTCCATACTCTACCTCCCATACCTACTGAACCTGATTTATTGATATCTTTTTTAAAATGTCCATTCTCTCTTGCCTATATAGCTTAGACTTTATGTTTAGCCATCTTAGCTAACTTGTCAAGTCAGGTTAAAATTCCTCTCGTTCTTTTTACCTTATAGTGTAGGTTTCCTGTTTATTTCCTAAACCTGATTAAATTCTTCTATTTCTCTACCCTTGGGATAATTTCCCGGTAACTATGATCATTTCTCCACTACATACTCAAATTCGCTCAAAACACTTAGGTCCTCCCTACTGAGCAGATTTGGTTTTATTTATCTCTAGTTCCTTCTAATTTCCTCTGCAGTAGCCATCCCAAAATGTTACTCTTGAGAACATAAAACCCATCTCTTTCATTTGTCGTTAATGAGAAAGTTGGGATTATCCAACATGCACTTCCTCAATTCTTCTTCCTTCAGGGTCACAATTTCTTTATGCGGTTACTACATTCCATTGTCTTTCCTTTTTATCTTTGGGGATGTAGTGTCCTTTCCCATCTTAAGACTAATTTTTCCACTCTCTGAAATGAGACTTCGCTTTTTCTGTCTTTCTGAATATATGTGTTCCTCCCCACCCTCTATGTTCCCCTGATATTTTATTCACAGCCTTCCTCCCCTTCCTTTCTTTTCCCTGATTGATCTCATCCAGCTTCCTGTGGTAATCTCATCCCAATTCTCAACTTCCTTCCTGAGCTCTCTCACTATTGGCCACCTCCAAGATACACTATAAAATTTCAAACACTGAGCTTAAACTTATACTTATGGCCTTTCCCTCTAAACCCTATTTTACCTCAAGAATGCCCTATTTTTGCTGATACAGGGGAAATCCTCCCTGATGCATAGATTTGGAACCTGGGAATCAGCTTTAAATCTGCACTTTCCCTGATCCACCTCCCTCCATGTACGATCATTACAGATTATGGTGCCTTTCATATTGTAGATGTTTAAAAGGCATTCACAGTGGCTGATATCGGCACTGGAATAAAGTGGAAAGAACACTGCATTTTGAAACAAAGATTTGTACTTGAATCCTGGCTTGAACATTAAGTACCTTTGTGATCTTTGGCAAGTCACTGAACTTCTCTTTGCCTCAGTTTCCTGTCTCCAAAAAGGCGATAGCAATAATGATCTCAAAGGATTGTTGTGAGGTTACAGAGCCTAATGTCTTAAAAGTTCTTTGTAAATTCTAAAGTGACATGGTTTGATTTAATCTTTGGTATAACCAGGTGTATATTCCCCAAATTGCTCTCATTCTCAGAGAGAAAAGATTTGTAAAAAACAAGTAGGGTTGGACCAGTTAAGAACCCCCCTTTTGCAATAGGCAAACTGTTCTCAATGGCTCAAGTTCTGTATTAAGTTTGTCAGTTATTAGTTTGCACCCACATGAAATTGCTATCCATGTGGGTCTTTTTTTTTTTGAGACGGAGTTTCACAGTTGTTGCCCAGGCTGAAGTGCAATCGTGCAATCTCGGCTCACCACAACCTCCGCCTCCAGGGTTCAGTGATTCTCCAGCCTCAGCCTCCCGAGTAGCTGGGATTACAGGCATGCGCCACCATACCTGGCAAATTTTGTACTTTTAGTAGAGATGGGATTTCTCCTTGTTGGTCAGGCTGGTCTCGAACTCCCGACCTCAGGTGATCCACCCTCCTCGGCCTCCCAAAGTGGTGGGATTACAGGCATGAGCCATGTGGGTCATTTTTAAGGCAGTTGTTGGAAACTGCATATGGTCCAAACTAGCAGTGATAATACCTCCCTTTCACATTTCCTCAGGAGAGTCTAGCCATTGGAAGGGCACGTGGTTCCACTCGACATTGCACAAGCAAGTCCTTTGTGAATGATATTGGGGTGGAGGTTATGCCAGCTTCTGTCACTGTGCCTTCAGCGCCAGCAGTTCTATCCATTTGGGGGCCATAATTACCTCTGTACACTGTAGAGTGAATGTGAGGGGTGAAACTGCTGACCCATCCACTGTAGTCACTTGGACTCATCAAGGGACAAAACACGTATAAGGTAACACTACTGTTATGATTAGCATTATTAGGTTCATTATTGACATCAAGGTCCCTGATGTTTTATTAAGATGTGGAAGTCTTTAACTTACTAAATGATGATGATATTGTGTATAATTCATCACATCTTTTCTTTAATTTGCTGCTACTTATTCTAAGTGCTTAGGGCTTGGTGCTGAGGTCTATTGTGGCTTCCTTTCAGCTGACAACTTCATCTTTAAGAAAAATCTCCCTTTCTTATGTGGCCTAATGAATATCAATAAAATGAAATAAGATAATATCTTCCTTAACTAAAATATATCTGATAGGAAGATGGGCCTGATAGGATTGCCTTTTGGAGTGGAGCTGTCAACCTCAGAATGCAACTCTTTATTTAAATATAAAGCTATAAAAGAGAGCCTTGTTTTCATATTGTGTGGCAGTGTGTATATCTGTACATTCAAAAAATGATTTTTTTTTCAGTATGGGACACTTTCTACTTAACAAAACATTACAAGTAACCTTGACTATACAATGTAAGGCATGTCGCCTCTTCAGATTCTGCATCTTCCTGATTCTATACTCAATGAGGTACAAACGCAAACTCCAGTTCTGGTGTTCTTATGTAGTGTTTAATTGTACAGATTCCATAAAAAATCACTTAATATAAAGAAAACAAATACTCTTTTTTACTGCTGCACTAAATACTTTTGCTAGCAAATGCTTTGGGGGTGCTTTTTATTTATGGATTTTTCACAATGCCAGAGAGCTTTTGTCTTTTTTACTGCTTTATATTTATGGTTGTGGGATGATCATTTTCTGGTTGGTTTCACATTGAGCTCTTTCAGAACTAGTTGGAGTAGTAATAGTTTCTTACTGTTTATACTTTCTCCCCCTGAGTCCTATGTTAAATCTTTTTCACTCTATCAGTGACACTGCAGTATATTATGCTATACATTCTTAGGCTATTAACTTTGGGCACTGCTAATGATTTCTTTTATATATATAAAATAAAACATGTAAATGTTTCTTGTTAAAACAAGAAAACTCAAAACACAATCAACCTTATCAACAAAAGCTGGAGATTTTCTTTCTCCAAGTGAGATTGTAAGCCAGAAACAGGTTTGTAAAATCCCAGTGTTGGGAAACAAAGTAAATTATAAAAGACCCCTAAAGGGAGAGATTTAGTTTTCCTAAAAAACAGCTTGCTTGGTATTCCATTCCTACATTGAAAATTTTTAAAAAGTAACACATTTGAAAAATCAACAGTAGCAGCACAGCAGTTTTCTCGACTACAAGAAAATATCTAAGTCTCTGTGAGAAGACTGGAAGCAAGAAAAGGTGGAAGAACCTCAGAGTCACCTGCAATCTCACATCATTGTGCTCAGATCTTTTAAAGGAGCTCTGAGGAATATCTTACTTTACCTCTGGCAGCTCAGAGCCCGTGAGGATTTAATCTGAAATTAGAATGTGTAAAGTAACTGGAGAACAAGCACTCTTAGGGGCGAAGTTTAACAATGAAAGATTTAAGGGAATAAGGTGATTCAAAAATGACTCCTGAACACAAGAAATGGAACTGATTAGAACAAAAGCAACCAGTATTTGTATCTTTAAATTGAGGATTGCCTACTCATAAAAAGTCTTTGGAAGCCAGTGGGCTCCTGACTGACTTTACTGTTCGGCTTCCTTTATACTGTGCCTTTTTGAACCAGCAGGGTTTTCACTCGTGTCCGTGTGAAGAGACCACCAAACAGGCTTTGTGTGAGCAATAAAGATGTTTATTTTGCCTGGGTGCAGGTGGGCTGAGTCCGAAAAGGGAGTCAGCGAAGGGAGATAGGGGTGGGGCCGTTTTATAGGATTTGGGTAGGTAAAGGAAAAAGGGGTGTTGTTCTCTGGCGGGCAGGAGTGGTGGTCACAAGGTGCTCAGTCGGGGAGCTTTTGAGCCAGGATGAGCCAGGAGAAGGAATTTCACAAGATAATGCCATCCTTTAAGGCAGGAACAGGCCATTTTCACTTATTTTGTGGTGGAATGTCATCAGTTAAGGCAGGAACTGGCCATCTGGATGTGTACGTGCAGGTCACAGGGGGTATGATGGCTTAGCTTGGGCTCAGAGTCCTGACATTCCTGTCTTCTTGTAGTAATAAGAAAAACAAAATGAAATAGTGGTAAAGTGTTGGGACAGTGAAAATTTTTGGGGATGGTATGGGGAGATAATGGGCGATGTTTCTCAGGGCTGCTTCGAGCAGGATTAGGGGCAGCGTGGGAACCTAGAGTGGGAGAGATTAAGCTGAAGGAAGATTTTGTGGTAAGGGGTGATATTGTGGGGTTGTTAGAAGAAATATTTGTCATTTAGAATTATTGGTGATGGCCTGGATATGGTTTTGTATGAATTGAAAAACTAAACGGAATAAGAGAAGGAGAAAAACAGGTATTAAAGGGCTAAGAATTGGGAGGACCTAGGACATCTAATTAGAGAGTGCCTAAGGAGGTTCAACATAGCCTTGCCAGCAAAGATTATTTATTTACTTCAAGAGTTAAGAGTGGCGGTTTGGGGATAGCACCAGGAGATATCAGCTGTGATGGCTTGGAGAAACAGTATAAACCGGCAGTGTAAACAAGAGCAGAGCATGTATGAGTAGTTGAGAATGGTGAATAGGAGTATGACTAGACAGAAGATAGTAGGGATGACAAATTTTTGGGGCACAGTCTAAGTTGGTCTGGTGTCTGGAATGAGACTGGGGCCTAATAAAAAGGAGCATCTATACAGGAGCTCAAATGGGCTGTACCTTGTAGCATTCCAAGGACAGGCCTGCATTCTGAGAAGGGAAAGTGGTAAAAGTATTGTCCAGTCCTTTTTAAGTTGGTGGCTGAGCTAGGTGAGGTGTGTTTTTAAAAGGCCATTGGTCTGTTCTACCTTTCCTGAAGACTGAGGACTGTAAAGGATATAAAGGTTTCACCTGAATACTAAGCCTGAAAAAATGCTTGGCTGATTTGACTAATAAAGGCCAGTCTGCTATCAGACTGTATAGAGGTGGGAAGGACAAACTGAGGAATTATGTCTGACAGAAGGGAAGAAATGACCGTGGTGGCCTTCTCAGACCCTGTGGGAAAGACCTCTACCTATCCAGTGAAAGTGTCTACCTAGACCAAGAGGTATTTTAGTTTCCTGACTCGGGGCATGTTGAGTAACGCTGATTTGCCAGTCCTAGGCGGTGGCAAATCCCTGAGCTTGATGTGTAGGGAAGGGAGGGGGCCTGAATAATCCCTGAGGAGTAGTAGAATAGCAGATGGAACACTGAGAAGTTATTTCCTTGAGGATACATTTCCACGATGGAAAGGATATGAGAGGTTCTAAGAGGCGGGCTATTGGCTTGTACTATAGCATAGCCTGCCTTTGCTGGTGTGTGGCGATTAGGCCTGGTGGAACTGCCATCAATAAACCAAGTGTGATCAGGGTGAGAAACAGGGAAGAAGGAAATGTGGGGAAATGGGGTGAACGTCAGGTGGATCAGAGAGATGCAGTCATGAGGGTCAGGTGTGGTATCAGGAATAATGTGGGAGGCCGGATTGAAGTCTGGGCCAGGAACATTGGTAATTGTGGGAGACTCAACAAAGAGTGAGTACAGCTGAAGGAGCCGGGGAGCAGAAAGTATATGCGTCAGGTGGGAGGAAGAAAATAGATTTTGGAAATTATGAGAGCTGTAGAGAGTGAGTTGAGCATAGTTTGTGATTTTAAGGGCCTCTAAAACTATTAGGGCGGCAGCAGCTGCTGCACGGAGACATGATGGCCAGCCTAAAACAGTAAGGTCAAGTTGTTTGGACAAAAAGGCTACAGGACGCGATCTCGGTCCTTGTGTAAGAATTCCGACTGCACAGCCCTGCACTTCAGCTGTGTGTAATGAAAAGGGTTGGGATGAGTCAGGGAGAGCTAGGATGGGGGCAGTCTCTAAAGCTGTCTTCAAGGAACAGAAAGAGGAGTGGGGAAAGGATTTAGGATTTATGGGGTCAGCTAGGTTTCCTTTTGTGAGTTTATATAATGGTTTTGTTAGGATGGCAAAACCAGGTATCTAAAGGTGAAAGTATCCAACTATGCCCAGGAAGAAAAGGACTTGTTGTTTTGTAGAAGGGGTTGGGGTTTGAGAGATTAGTCGGACATGATCGGCAGGGAGAGCACGTGTGTTTTTATGAGAATTATGCCGAGATAGGTAACAGATGAGGAAGAAATTTGGTCTTGACTGAAGTAATGGGGGCTGTCTGTGAAGCTTTGCGGCAGTACAGCCCAGGTAATTTGCTGAGCCTGATGGGTGTCAGGGTCAGTCCAAGTGAAAGCGAAGAGAGGCTGGGATGAAGGGTGCAAAGGAATAGTAAAGAAAGCATGTTTGAGATCCAGAACAGAATAATGGATTGTGGAGGGAGGTATTGAGGATAGGAGAGTATATGGCTTTGGCACCATGGAGTGGATAGGCAAAACAATTTGGTTGATAAGGCATAGATCCTGAACTAACTTGTAAGGCTTGTCTGGTTTTAGGACAGGTAAAATGGGGGAATGATAAGGAGAGTTTATAGGCTTTAAAAGGCCATGCTGTAGCAGGCGAGTGATAACAGGCTTTAATCCTTTCAAAGCATGCTGTGGGATGGATATTGGCATTGAGTGGGGTAAGGGTGATTAGGTTTTAATGAGATGGTAAGGGGTGCATGATCGGTCACCAAGGAGGGAGTAGAGGTATCTTATACTTGTGGGTTAAGGTAGGGGAATACAAGAGGAGGACGCAAAGGAGGCTTTGGATTGGGAAGAAGGGCGGCAATGAGATGTAGCTGTAGTCCAGGGATAGTCAGGGAAGCAGATAGTTTAGTTAAAGTGTCTCAGCCTAATAAGGGAACTGGGCAGGTGGGGATAACTAAAACTAGTGCTTAAAAGGTATTATCTAAGTTGGCACCAGAGTTGGGGAGTTTTAAGAGGTTTAGAAGCCTGGCCGTCAATACCCACAACAGTTATGGAGGCAAGGGAAACCGGCCCTTGAAAAGAAGGTAATGTGGAGTGGGTAGCCTCCGTATTGATTAAGAAGGGGACGGCCTTACCTTCCACTGTGAGAGTTACTTAAAGCTCGGCGTCTGTGATGGTCTGTGGGGCTTCCGAGGCAATCAGGTAGCATCAGTCTTCAGCCACTAAGCCGAGAAGATCTGGGAAGGAGTCAGTCAGAGAGCCTTGGGCCAGAGTTCCAGGGGCTCTGGGAGTGGCTGCCAGGTGAGTTGAACAGTCTGATTTCCAGTGGGGTCCTGCACAGATGGGACACGGCTTAGGAGGAATCCTGGGCTGCGGGCATTCCTTGGGGTGGTGGCCAGATTTCTGGCACTTGTAGCAAGCTCCTGGGGGAGGATGTTCTGGAGGAACACCTGGCCACTGTGGTTTAGGCGTTTGGAAGTTCTTGTGTGCTGGACATGTGGCTGGGGTTTGTCTCACAGTGGAGGCAAGGAATTGCAACTCAGAAATATGTTGCTACTTGGCTGCCTCTGCTCTATTATTGTACACCTTGAAGGCAAGGTTAATTAGGTCCTGTTGTGGGGTTTGAGGGCCGGAATTTAATTTTTGGAGTTTTATTTAATGTCGGGAGCAGATTGGGTAATAAAATGTATTTTGAGAATAAGACGGCCTTTTGACCTTTTAGGGTCTAGGGCTGTAAAGTGTCTCAGGGTTGCTGCCAAACGAGTCATGAACTGGGCTGGGTTTTTATATTTGATGAAAAAGAGCCTAAACACTATCTGCTTTGGGATAAAGAAAAAGGAGCATTAACCTTGATTAAGCCTTTAGCTCCAGCTACCTTTTTAAGAGTAAATTGCTGGGCAGGTGGGGGAGGGCTAGTCACAGAATGAAACTGTAAGCTGGACCGGATGTGAGGAAGGGAGGTGATAAAAGGATTATAGGGTGGAGGAGCGGTGGCTGAGGAAGAATTGGGACCTAGCTAGGCCTGGTGAGGAGGAGAGAGGTCAGATGGGTCTGTAGAAAAGGAAGATTAGAAAGACTCAGCGACGCTTGGGGTTGGGACTGGGGGGACAGGTGGGAGGGAAAGAAGGAAGATTTGGGACGAGTTGCATTGGGAACAGAGACTAGGGAGGGACCGTTGTGTAAAAGAATGCCTGGACGTCAGGCACCTTAGACCGTTCGCTTATTTTACGACAAGAATTATTTAGATCTTGTAGGATGGAAAAATTGAAAGTGCTGTTTTCCGGCTATTTGGAACTACTGTCGAGTTTGTATTGAGGTCAGGTGGCATTGCAGAAGAAAATAAGATGCTTAGATTTTAGGTCAGGTGAGAGTTGAAGAGGTTTTAAGTTCTTAAGAACACAGGCTAAGGGATAAGAAGGAGGAATGGAAGGTGGAAGCTTGCCCATAGTGAAGGAGGCAAGCCCAGAGAAAAGAGAGTAAAGACACGGAGAAGGGGTGGGGGGTTCTTGCCTTCCAGAAAAGCAGAGAAGGGGTCAGGGTGCAGAAATAAGGGGTTGGGGTGCAGAGATAAGAGGTTGGGGCATGGAAATAAGGGATCGGGGTGCAGAGATAAGAGGTCAGGGTGCGGAAATTTGGGATCGGGGCACAGAGATAAGAGGTCGGGGTTCCTGCCCTTCCCCCAGAAAAGCGGGACTTGCCGCTAAGGGTAAAGGACCAAGGCAGGCATCCCTGCGTGGTCTGACACCTCTGAAACCTGGGTGAATAATCAGAGAGGCGTCCCTGCAATGATTAAACACCAAGGGAAGGCTGCCTTCCTTAGTCCGTGACTGGTGCCGGAGTTTTGGGTCCATGGATAAAACGTGTCTCCTTTGTCTCTACCAGAAAATGAAAGTAATTGAAATTAAGAGAAGGGAGAGATTGAAGTGTGGCGCCAAGATTGAAAGGAGAAAGAGGTTGAGGGATAGTGAGGGAGGTTGGAGAAGAGAGTAAAAAGAGGCCGCTTACCGGATTTGAAATTGGTGAGATGTTTCTTGGGCTGGTCGGTCTGAGGACCTGAGGTCGTAGGTGGATCTTTCTTACGGAGCAAAGAGCAGGAGGACAGGGGATTGATCTCCTAAGGGTGATTCAGAAAATGCTTTTTATAGAGGCATAAACACCTAATTTGGACATTTTCAGGACACACAGCCAATGGGATAAAGTTGGATGGCATGGAAGAGACAGTACAGCAAAAAGTAATGGGTTAAGACAAAAAGTCACATGCGGGGAGAATGAGAGAGGACAGAAACGACTAGGGAACAAATAAAGGCAGAGAAAAGAAGGGATAACTAGAGTAATGTAATAAAGGAAGTCGGATTTCTAATACAACTTAATCTATGGCTACAACTACAAAGCTAGGGATATGGTACATGCAAAAATGAGCACAGAATTTTTTTTCTTAATGCACTAAGGGGGACTAAAGAAACATTTACAAAATATTTATTGGGGTTGCCCCAGCAGCGTACAGACAACCACTTTTGGCTGGGTCCTTCCCTGCCCAGACCTACTCCCCTTGGGGCGATGGAAGGAGGAGGCACTGCAGCAGCCTAGTTCTCTGTCCTTACAGTTGTTCATCTGCTTCCAGAAAATGGTGCCTGAGATGAGCAAGGTCAGCAGACAAGAAGTGAGGTCAATGTCAGGTTTCCATGCCAGCAGCGGGAACTCTGGATACAGTGGAGAGTCACAGCTGGTCAAACCCTGAACCGCTTGCTCCTTGAAATGGCCAGAGAGGCCCATCCCAGAGCCATCTCATCATCTCTCCTCAGACAGGTGAACCTCTTCTGGTGGCGACGGGGTGGGGAAGAACAGAGATCAAAGCAAAACCAAACAAAATGAAAGCATAATTGTTACATATTTTTTTTCTCTTTTTACACACATGCATTATAATTTATTATTAACTACTCTGAGTTCTTTCCTTACATTTCCCAAATTAAGGATCGGCTTTGCTGGCAGAGATCTTTTCCCCAAATAAAACTGGGCACTTTCTTAAGAGTTCCAAGTTCAAGGTTAATGTTACGGTGTGTAGCTTGGCCTTTTTGAATGCTTGATGGAGAAAGCTAATCAGTGGATCTGTTGTCTCTAGGAAACCGAGAAGGAAAACAATCAGCTCTGTTCTCTCTGGGCCGAGGGAGTGAGCTGTAATGAGGGAGCACAGGAACGCATTGGGCGCCCTCAGACCTGAACACACAGGTTAGCACCACCTGCCTGGCTGACCTGGCTCACAGGTGCGCGGTTGCCAGGTAACGCTTGGTATCTCAGGGTGCCTTCAGAAGCCCAGCAGTTGGCTTGGGGAGGTGTGGCACGGCCTGGGGCGATGGTGGGGGCAGGGCAGATGGAGTCACTATCAGGGCAGCTGGCAGCACCACTACTCCTCACCTCTGTAGCAAGTGGAAACAAGCCGGCTCGCCCTGAAGGGCCAATCTTCTTCCTCAGCTGCCTGTGTTGTGAAACGGCTCTCTGATTAGAAATGAGCTTACAGATGCAGAAGGGAGAAAATAAAACCCTTGCTGTGCGTTATATAAAGCCCCCCTCTCTCTCTCCCTCACACACACATATACGTGTGTTTTACATAAATATAAATATAAAACACACATCTGTCCTTTGTAAAGTTATATTCTAAAAATTCCTCTCAAACTTGGGCAACTTTATAGAGCATGTTATCACATATGTGAAGGGCAAAATGATGTTTGGGAAGAGCGGCTGACTGGTTGAAAACACCTGGGTTCTAGCCCTAAATTTGCAAGTTTCTTGATTCTCCAGTGTTACTGGGGAGTCACTCCATCATTTTAGATTCACATGAAATCAGCCCAAATCCCTATGTGTCCTGAAAAACCCAGAATTCCCCTCAGTCTCTTTATGAGCTCTTGAGGGCTTGATTCCCTTGCCCTCTCTCTGGCCCCCACTTCCTTCTTGCACAGATGTAATTAATTTCCATCCTTAGTTATTGCATGTCCATTGCATATGTTCTTCACACAGAGTCTGCCTTTTCCTAAACTCTGGCAAATTCATAAATCTGGAACACCTTGTTCCCAAATAATGCCAGATGTATAAGAACTCCTCCCTTAAGCTAATGCTGGTTTCTCTTTTGGTGGTAGTTGTTGTTCCTGGTCAAGTTGTGTACTCTTTTGGATCTTTCTTTCATTCTACTTGATCAAGAAAGCTTTATGTGAGTGGATAGGCACAGTGTCACTGTGTAGAGCAGAATAGGTCATACATTGTGGTGGTCCTGGACTGCAATTAATTTGCAAAGATAGGCTCAATGTGTAAGAGTCAGTGTTTTTAGAGCTGGCCTCAGTAGGTTCGTTAGGTCCACAGAAGGGTGAATATTGGAAACCAGCTGCCCTCTCCGATCCATGGCCTGTCATTACAGCTGAGTCATTCCTGTGCAGAGTACTACTTTTTCACCCTAGGATATGCATAGGTTCCTCAATCTGTCTTGGGTGAGGAAAAGATGAGTTATCTAATAAAGTTATGGGAAAGCTAAGAGCTTGAGGTTAAGCAGAGGCAGCCAAGCTGTTTTCTTCCCACCTGGAATCAGGCAGGCTAACGGGGAAATCACGCAGGCCAACCTTCCTAGCCCAAGGGCTATCATTCTGCTTTATATGTTTGAGTCATTGTGAGAAGAGAAAGATTTATAGGTGTTCTTTCAACACTTATTCAACAAATATTTATTGAACACCTACTCTTTTCTGAGCTCTGCAGTGTGTTCAGCAACCAGGGCTGCAAACAAGTCGTTCTTCCTTACTATCCTTGAACACTGCTCTTTTTAACTGCCTCTAGATCTAAGTATCAATCCATGTATTGATTGAATGCGTACATGTGTAAAGGCTCTTACAGGCTGACATTGTCAATATTTGCAAAGTCTAAGACTTGCAGACTTGGAGGCAGCTTATTTTCTGTGGGTATGTGCTTTCACGTATCTTAGAGCGCAGCCCAATTTGAGTTTATATTATACATTTTTTTTTTTGAGACAGAGTTTCACTCTTGTTACCCAAGCTGGAGTGCAATGGTGCAATCTCGGCTCACTGCAACCTCCGCCTCTCGGGTTCAAACGATTTTCCTGCCTCAGCCTCCCGAGTAGCTGGGATTACAGGCACGCACCACCACGCCCAGCTTATTTTTTGTAGTTTTAGTAGAAACAGGGTTTCACTGTGTTAGCCAGGCTGATCTTGAACTCCTGACCTCAGGTGATCTGCCCGCCTCCGCCTCCCAAAGTGCTGGGATTACAGGCGTGAGCCACCGTGCCTGGCCACAATTTTTTTTTTTAAAGTTAAAACCAAACAAGCAGAAAACCTAACTCTCACACAGACTGAGCCCAAGACTGGGGAAAGGATGCTTTAAGGTATTTTTCAGAAGCCAAGACTGGGGAAAGGATGCTTTAAGGTACTTTTCAGAAGCCAAGTCAATGTGCTGCTGCATTGTGGTACTATAGAGTCTCAGTGTTGAATATGTATTTGAATTTTTTTTTTTTTTAAGTTGGAGTTTCGCTCTTGTTGCCCAGGCTGGAGTGCAATGGTGTGATCTTGGCTCACTGCAATCTCTGCCTCCCGGGTTCAGACAGTTCTGCCTCAGCCTCTCAAGTAGCTGGGATTACAGGCACCTGCCACCATGCCCAGCTAATTTTTTGTATTTTTAGTAGAGATAGGGTTTCTCCATGTTGGCCAGGCTGGTCTTGAACTCCTGACCTCAGGTGATCTGCCTGCCTCGGCCTCCCAAAGTGCTGGGATTACAGTGAAAATAAGTTTTTTTAAAGAAAAATGTAAATACTTGTAGAGTGAAGTTAATGGTTCAGTAGATGAAATTTTTCCTATTTGATCATAACTAACTCCAGGGTCTATAATATAGAGAGAGATGCCTAGTTCATTAATGAAATGCCATATTTGGCATGGAATGAGAAAATATGGCTCTCGGTACTAGTCATCACCACTGATGTTATATCTCTAACGTGTGAATGAGGAAAATAGAACCTTTGTAAAGCCTTTGGCACCCATCCAGAGGTTCATTCAGTGCCAGAGACAAGGGCTTGGGAACAGAGCTCCTCTTTCTGATCATGCCAGCTCTCTTCAGGAGCACTGAAGTGGTACCACATGTCTTCAAGTGCAGCTCAGAGAGCTTGGTGGGTTTTCAGACAGAATTTTGCCATGCTGATTCTAGAACAGTGTTATCCAACCTTTCAAAACTCAAAACTCCTATAATGCTTTCTCATTCTGTCTTCTAGAGAAGCCAAGCCAGCCAGAAATGTGTTGTTCAGCTGTGGATGCTGTTACAAAGGCACCAGGAATATTAAATATGTTTTATCAAACTGCTTATGACCCCCTACACAAACCTTTCAGAAACTCTTATGAGATGTTTCCCTTCACTGGGGGGAGTCATAGTCCTGTGTGCCATGGACATTCCCAGTTTACTCTTGTTCTGATGTAAATATTACTGTTGTATGTTCCTTGCACTCTCACATGTGGCTCAGTTTGAATGGCAAGGTATATGGTCGCCTTATCTTTACCCTGGATCCTTCTCTCCCAACAGTTGAGAATAACTCATCCAGGGTTGTTGAATGGTGGAGGATCTTCCAAAATCAGCAGCTAGGAGGTCGAGAACCCTTCATGCCATACTAAGAAGTTTCATGCTAGGCAAAGAAGAGTGACAAGGTATTTCAACAGGTGAATGATGTGAGTAAATATTTGCTTCAAAAAAGTGTATTGTAAAAAACCATGTGAGAAGAAATGGGAACACTAGCAATGACCTTTGAAGAATTATACCTTTGTATCTGGGAAGTCTTGAGCTCAAATGAGAGAGAACTCTTACTGTGAGTGAATTGCAATTAGAGTCCTATCACCTCTACTTAAATCTCTCAAACGTAAACCATTGGAGTAACATTTCCTTGCTTCTCATCTTTCAGTAAGGCTTGTGTGTGCTATTAACAAAATACTACAGCATCCCAGAGCAGGATGCCTTTCAGTGATGAATCAATTGATTCCCCCATGCTAGTGTATAAATTGTTAACTGCTTCAGGATTCATAGGGATGAAAGATGCTTTATTTATTGTCCTTTGAGATGAAAGATGCATAATTTATGGCACTAGGATTACTATTTTATTTACTCTTGTGATGCTGAAATCACATTCTTTTCTAGTGATGGAATTGGAGAATCTCTTTTAATTTGTGGGCAAGTAGCTTATTAAAAGCTTCAGAGTTGGAGGGTTTGGCTACACAAAAGTGGGTGTTGTCTGAAGGAAGCAGTATGATGCTTTTGTTGCTAACACAAAGACTTTATTCTCCTGCTCACAAGCGTTAGTGAGATGTTAAACGTGTGCATGATGTAAAGATGTTGGCTCTGATACGTGTTCATGTAGGTTTAAGGTTTAGAATGACATAATTAGGTACATTCTGTAAAAGTATCTTAAAATATCGCAGTTGTAGACTTCGCAGAGTTTTCTTTTCCAGTGGGTCCTGGACGTTTGTATGGCATACTTCTGTGTTCCTAGACAATCACATGTTTTCCAGCATCCAAAAATATCCACAACTTTGTGTTCAGGAAAATGTCCAGCATCTTTTGTTGATAGAATCTTTAGAATTTCCTTGCCTGAAAATCTCTTTGTAGCTTTGCTGAAAAGGCTAGTTTAGTTCGTTTGATTTCTTACTTTTAACTAAAAGTTGTGGCTCACTTCTTGGCAGCAAGGTTTGGGACAATTTCTTTAATTAAAGAAAATATTTGCCTTGTGTCATCCTGCCTCAGAAGGCCTATGGGAGGCCATGTGTGGATTGGGGTGAGGTAGGAATGTTGGATAATTGTTTCTACCTGGTATTTCCACCAATACACTCTACCTTTGGTGGGACCAATATCATCTCGACATTTTAGGGATCACAGTAGTAAAATGTGTGGAAATAAAAGAGCAGGTTCAGGCTAGACAATAGCTGCTTTTTCCTTCTTTTCCCTGATGGAAAACTGCTTTCCTTTAGACTGATGGCCAAATAGCAATACAGGTTGAGTATTCCTTATCCAAAATGCTTGTGATCAAAAGTGTTTTGGATTTCTGATTTTTTGTTTTGGATTTTGAAATATTTGAAAATGCTTAATGAAATATCTTGGGGATGGGACCCAAATCCAAACATGAAATTCATTTATGTTTCTTATATAACTTAGGCACATAAGCTGGGGTAATTTTACACAATATTTTAAATAATCTTGTGTATGCAACAAAGTTTGTAGATGAGGTCAGGTGTGCAGTTTTCCACCTGTGGAGTTGTATCAGTGCTGAAAGAGATTTGGAGTTCAGAGCATTTCATATGTTGGATTTTCAGATGAAGGATTCTTAATTTGTAGTAGGAAAGGAAAGGGAGCTATAGACAGAGGGTCCCAGACACTGTTGGGTAATGTTGTATGAAGAACCGAGCAACAACTGTACAGAATACTCGGGAAAACAAATAGATCTAAAAATGATGTTACCAATTTGGTTGCATGATTCTACTTTATTGGAATGTAAATTTGCTTTCTTTCTTTTTTTTTTTTTTTGAGACAGAGTCTCACTCTATCGCCAGGCTGGAGTACAGTGTCATGATCTCAGCTCACTGCAACCTCCTCCTTCTGGGTTCAAGCACTTCTCCTGCCTCAGCCTCCTGAGTAGCTGGGATTACAGGAGTGTGCCACCACGCCTGGCTAATTTTTGTGTTTTTAGTAGAGACGAGGTTTCACCATGTTGGCCAGACTGGTCTCAAACTCCTGACCTCATGATCTACCCACCTCAGCCTCCCAAAGTGCTGGGATTACAGGTGTGAGCCACCACGCCTGGCCGTAAATTTATTTTCTTAACCAGAGTCAGTTTGGCATTTCTAAGAATGCTCTTTTGGAAATAGAGAAGTCATTACTAGAAACTGCAATTCCTTTGCCTTCCATCCCCAAAAGAGGGAAGTGTGACTTTAAAGAAAAATTCTATTTGACACTAGAAACAAATGAAGGAAAGCAAAAGCATAACTAATAACTATCTTTATGTGTATGGAAAACTCTGGCTTAAGTTAAGGAGGACTAGCAATTATGTCTTCACTGAGGACAGAAATGGACTTCAACTAAATTGAGGGATTAGAATTAAGTTTAAGAAAGCCCTTTTACTCTGACTCCGTCCACTACTGATGTTAGGTTTCATACAGCTTGTTTCTCTGGATATCTGTTGCTTTCGTTGTCATCATCATTGTACTTATAGTTGTTTCAGCAAAGGACAGATCTCTACCTATCTGGAATGACTTTAATAATGTATAATATTTGGCATTCAAACATGTTCCTTTGCAAATAAGGGATTAAGCCTATATTTCCTTCACGTCACTTGGCTGCTACCAGGACAAGAACTTCAGTTCCTAAGCACCAACACCGAGGTGTTTTTTGTGCAGCAGACTCTGGGGTCATTCACAGTAGCAAGAGATCAAGCTAAATAATTCTGTAGGCTCCTTCCTACTTTGGATATTTGAATCTAAAAAAAGATTTTACCTTTGCAAAACTTGAAATCATATTTATTAAATTTATTAAACGTATAAGTTATCTATGTCTTCAAAATGTGTAAGGCATAAATTTTTTTACTGTAGCTTCTCATTGAGGGTTTAAAGAAAATTACCTAGTATATTAATAAGGGTTCTCCAGGGAGAGAGAACCAATAGGATATATACAGATAGACAGATAGAGAGATGAGAGCGGATTTATTTGGAGAATTGGCTCAGGTGATTATGGAAAGTGAGAAGTCCCATGGACAGGCCATCTACAAGCTGGAAACCCTGGGATGCCATTAGAGTGGCTCCGTCTAAGTCTGAAAGCCTCAGAACCAGCGAAGTCAATGGTGTAAGTCAATGGTGCAAGAATCAAGGATGGGGGTCGGGAGGGAGGGCAAGGAGGCACTGGTGCAAGTCCTGGAGTCCAAAGGCCAGGGAAACTGTAGTTCTGATGTCCAAGGGCAGAAGGGCATCTCAGCTTCAGTAGAGAGAGTGAGCAAATTCACCTTTCCTCTGCTTTTGTTCTATCTGGACCCTCAGCCAATGGAATGGTGCCTGTCCACATTGGGGTGGATCTTCCTTACTCAGTCTACTGATTCAAAGGCCAATCTCATCCAGAAACACCCTCACAGACACACCCAGAAATAATGCTTTACCAGCTAACTGAATATTCCTTAATCCAGTCAACTTGACACCTAAAATCAACCATCATACATAATATCTTTTTCTTTCCTTCCTTTGTGTGTGTGTGTGTGTGTGTGCGTGCCTTATAAATGTGCAAAATGTGCCTCTGGAGTATAAAGTGAAAGTGTTTGCTTGTTGCTTTGGAAACTTCATATGGCTGTTTCAGAATGGCACCTTGTCATTGCCAGGTCAATAGAGTAGCTTTAAATATAGCCATATATTATTAACGCTGTGACAAATACCTTTGTGTTTTATCACTTGTGATGAATGTTTCATTTCATTGGGATTGATTTTAATTCTGGAAATTAAGTGCTCACCCAAGAGAGGCACATAGCATCTTTTCTTGAAAAAAAAAAAAAATTACTCCATAAGAGAGAAGATCTGCCTAGTCCTGCTTTCCCAAAGACCTAAAGTTATCTCAAGAATAAATAACAACATTCTTTTTCTTTTCTTTTTAAAAATCTCTGCAGGGTGTGAGAAATACTTACCTTCTTCCTTATACCCTGGTTGTCTGAAGGGCTTGGCTTTAGAATGATAGAATGGTAGAACATTAGAACTAGAAGGGACTTAGCCTAGTCCCTTCATTATACAGATGAGAAGTACAAGGCCCAGAGAAATAAGGTGACTTGTCTGAGGTCATGTAATTTAATGGAAGTAACAAAACTTGAAACTTATTTCTGGTTTACTTCATTACCAATTTTTACTTATTAAGGGGTTTTTTTTTTAAGCACATGTTTTACCTGTCCTAGAAAGTAGGAAAAATATTGTTGCCATTAAGGTTAAGCAAAGCAGAGACACTGAGAGATCAAGCAATTCAAAGTCAAGGTCAACAGATACTCAGTAACAAAACCTGTAACAGTAATGTATACACAAGGAGAGAAGTCTGCGTGTAAATTATAAGATACATTTGGGCTACAAGTGTGGGTTTTTAGGACCAGTACAGATTGAGAAAATTACTAATTGTTGTATTCTCCCCTACATTGTGCCTTTAGCCCTAAAGTCATATTGAAAACTGAAACTGAGCTATTAATACATAAACCCTAAAAGAAATTGAAATAGAAGTGGGTACATGTTTTCTGGCTTGTCTATAGCAAGATCTCCCAAGGACCTGATTATCACCTACAATACCAAAGATAATATTATCCCTTATTTTTGGTGAACTGTCCACCTACTTTTTGCTATAATTTTGCAGCATTCACTTGGACCCTCTGACAAAACAAGAGAGAAACAAACATAGGATCTGCTCATTTGCAACAGTTGCTCTCCTAGGTTTACTCCCCACAGCCATTATAAACAAGGAGCAGGGATGAAGGAAACCATTAGTTGGAAAAAGGGATCACTTGTGATGTTCAGACCTAAGAACATACAGATTACTTGGTGTTTCTTTCGAACATAAAGCTATTCCCTGATGTGTCTGCCCTGTCTGGCCCTGTGTCTGTGATAACTCCCTTAGGATGACCTCTGTTTGCAATGCAGAGGTCTGCAGTGTTACATCAGTTGCAGCAGAAGCCCCCTGGTAGGCAGAAATGGATCAAGAATGTTCTTGTACAAGTAAATTTCCCCACCCATTCAGCTTCTAAACGTCGTGATTACCCTGTCATTTCTACTTTCCATTAATGAGTGTATATTAATGGCATAAGGCCAAAGTTGGAATTGGGATAGATCCTAGATTATTTTGTTTAATTACTTATCAATAATATTTTTTCAGTTGTCTACAATAAATTGGCATTTTACACACACACACACACACACATTTTTAAATTAAAAGCTCACAGTTCTGGAGTAGATATAGTTCCCATTTAAATGGAAGCTCACAAAGGGAACTTGGCCAAATTCCCAAAGCCAGAGTCGAATATATAAGATCACCATTTATCCCAGTTGCCCTGGATAATTATTAGTAGACATCCACTTTACTCTCAATACTAGGTTTGGTCAATACATTGTATAGTCACCCTAATTAATTAGCACCAGAATTGATTTGAAGCAACATTGTGAAGCAGGAGGAGTCCGTGTGCCTTTCTTGCATCATCTGTCAGGTCACCTCTATTCCTTTCTCCTGGGGATGTACTTTTGCATCTCCTGGGTCTTTTAACCTCTGTGCTATTTTCACTTATTCTGTCTTGGCTGGTTATCAGTAGGTTGCTGCTGAATGTTGGTGAAACTATATTCCTATTGGCCTTCTTCATCCATAAATCAGTCAAGAGTTCTCAAGCTTGTTGCTTTACAAAACTCAATTCAGCCTTCCAAGAATGATATGAAAGCTTTTGCTTATGAAGCAGTTATTAAGATTATCTCTTGTCACTGGGGCTGTATGTGATTTCTTCTTGGTGCTCCTACACAATTTTATAGATGACATTCCTGCTAGGATTTGTAATACCGTATAACCGTATAGTAATTATGTACATACATCTCTTTATCTCTTTCTAAAACATACATTTAAATTTATTTTTAATTGTGTTAAAATATATACAACATAAAATTTGCTATATTAACTGTTTTTAAGCATACATTCCAGTGGTATTAAGAAGATAACTTGGGGCTGCGCGCGGTGGCTCATGCCTGTAATCCTACCACTTTGGGAGGCCAAGGTGGGCAGATCACCTGAGGTCAGGAGTTCCAGACCAGCCTGGCCCATATGGTGAAACCCCATCTCTACTAAAAATACAAAAATTAGCCGGTATGGTGGTGCATGCCTGTAATCCCAGCCACTCGGGAGGCTGAGACAGGAGAATTGCTTGAACCTGAGAGGCGGAGGTTGCAGTGAGCTGAGATCGCACCACTGCCTCCAGCCTGGGCAACAGAGCAAGACTGAATCTCAAAAAATAAATAAATAAATAAATAAATAAAAGAATATGATAACTTGGTTGTATTTTTATCTTTCCTACAATATTATAAAACTGTGGAGAGCCGGGATAGTGCTGAATGCATTCTCAGTGTAGCAATGTGCCTGAACTCAAATAATTAGTCAATGAAGTCTTGATGAATAAATGGAGGAAATCATGTTTCTCTACTGCTTTCTCTTGTTTCCTCAATTCCTGTAACTTATTTACTTACTTACTTTCTTTTTTTTTTTATACGGAGTCATGCTCTGTTGCCCAGGCTGGAGTGCAATGGCATGATCTTGGCTCACTGCAACCTCTGCCTCCCAGGTTTAAGTGATTCTCCTGTCTCAGCCTCCCAAGTAGCTGGGATTATGGGCATGTGCCACCATGCCTGGCTAACTTTTGTATTTTCAGTAGAGATGGGGTTTCACTATGTTGGTCAGGCTGGTCTCAAACTCCTGACTGAGGTGATCCTCCCATCTCAGCGTCCCAAAGAGCTAGGACTACAGGTGTGAGCCACCGTGTCTGGCCCAATTCCTGTAACTTTCTGATTGCTGACTCTTTGCTAGGACTTTTGGTTATCAATTTTGCTTTCCTCTTCAGCTTCTGAGGGTTCCCTGTTTCCCATTATATTTTGGGTCTTCTGTTTTACCACATTTCCTAGTATTTATATTGTTATGATCCTTGTCTTCCTAGCTTTGAATCTACTGTGTACCCTGACTTTGTGGAAGTTCCAACTGCTTTAATACCCAGACTATCCTGGAGATTAGTACTGCTCACCTGTTTGGCCTGCTTTGACCTCTCATATCTGTCCAAACTCTAATTACCTTTGTTCTTTTTGCAAGATCTGATCTTGGAGTTAAAAGACCCAGGTTTGAATCCAAATTCTGTATCCATCTAGCTTCACAACCAGTAAAATTTAGCTTCTTTGAGCTCACATTCCACATCTGTGAAAAGCAGGTAATAACAATATCCTCTTCCTAGGAATGAATGAAATAATACATGTAGGATAATTTTGCAAATCAACATTAAGCTGCTTCTGCTACATTTAAAATTAATGGCAACAAAAATCAACTTAAGATGGATTAAGGACTTAAATCTAAGACCTGAAACTATAAAAATTCTGGCACAGTGGTTCACGCCTGTAATCCCAGCACTTTGGGAGGCCAAGGTGGGCGGATCATGAGGTCAGGAGATTGAGACCAGCCTGGCCAATATGGTGAAATCCCGTCTCTACTAAAAGTACAAAATTAGCCAGGCGTGGTGGCAGGCACCTGTAATCCCAGGTACTAAGGAGGCTCAGGCAGGAGAATCGCTTGAACCCGGGAGGCAGAGGTCACAGTGAGCCAAGAGCGCACCACTGTACTCCAGCCTAGGCGACAGAGTGAGACTCCGTTTCAGAAAAAAAAAAAAAAAAATCTAGAAGATAACATTGGAAAAACCCTTCGGACATTGGCTTAGGCAAGGATTTCATGACCAAGATCCCAAAAGCAAATGCAATAAGAACAGAGATAAATAGCTGGAACTTAATTAAACTAAAGAGCGTTTGCATGGCAAAAGAAACAGTCAGCAGAGTAAACAGACAACCCACAGAGTGGGAGGATATCTTCACAATCTCTACATCTGACAAAGGACTAATATCCAGAATCTACAATGAACTCAAACAAATCAGCAATTTAAAAACAAACAGTTCCATCAAAAGTGGGCTAAGGACATGAATAGACAATTCTCAAAAGAAGATATACAAATGGCCAACAAACATGAAAAAATGCTCAACATCACTAATGATAAGGGAAATGCAAATCAAAACCACAATGCGATACCACCTTACTCCTGCAAGAATGGCCATAATCAAAAAAATTTAAAAAAGCAGTAGATGATGGCATGGATGCAGTGATCAGGGAACACTTCTACATTGCTGGTGGAAATGTAAACTAGTACAATTACTATGGAAAATAGTGTGGAGATTCCTCAAAGAATTAAAGTAGAACTACTGTTTGATCCAGCAACCCCACTCCTGGGTATCTACCCAGAGGAAAAGAAGTCATTATACGAAAAAGATACTTGCACATGCATGTTTATAGAAGCACAATTTACAATTGCGAAATTGTGGAAGCAACCCAAATGCCCATCAATCAATGAGTGGATAAAGAAACTGTGGTGTGTGTGTATATGTATATATATATATATATATACATATATATAAAATATATATATGATGGAATACTACTCAGCCATAAAAAGGAATGAATTAACGGCATTTGCAGCCACTTGGATGAGATTGCAGACTATTATTCTAAGTGAAGTAACTCAGGAATGGAAAACCAAACATTGTATGTTCTCACTGATACGTGGGAGCTAAGCTATGAGGACGCAAAGACATAAGAATGACACAATGGACTTTGAAGACTTGGGGGGAAGTGTGGGGCAGGGCGAGGGATACAAATAGGGTGCAGTGTATACTGCTCAGTTGATGGGTGCACCAAAATCTCACAAATCACCACTAAATAACCTACTCATGTAACTTAACACCACTTGTACCCCAATAACCTATGGAAAAATTAAAACAAATTAACAGGATATCACTGCTTTGCACCAGTCACAAGGAGATTCTTAAACACAAAAAATCTTCCTTAAACCACAGTGACAACACTCTCCTCAAGCAAGGAGTGAAAACATTAGGATTTGGCATATCGTCTTAGTTAGATAGCCAACTCTGAACTAGATCATCTTTGGAACCAGTTAGAACTGCTATTTTATAGTTTGCTAAATTTAGATACGTGAGATGCATCGAATTAAACCCTGAATGTTCTGTAAACTTAGTGTTTGGAAATTATTTTAAAATCAGTTTCTTAGAATTTTAAGCAATTCTGGATTGTTGAAGGCTGGCAATATATTTGTTACAACATGTAATGAGTGCAAAAGTTACAAACCAAGGATTGTCTTACCCATAAATATTGGTCTGAAGCAGCCTTTAGAAACAGGTTAAAAACAAAGAGAACTTAAGAAAAAGGCAGACGCAGCAGTGCCTATTTTGAGTAAAAAAAAATGGTATTAAAATTTCAGACAAACAGGTCTAAAAACCTGAGGGAAATATGCCAATTGGGATATGAAAATATTTTTCAAATTTTATTTGTTTTATACACAAAATGGTCCAACTATGTTTTTGTTTCGTAAAATCACACATTTTCCAAGCTCACACCATTGGTATCTTCTATAAAACAAGAATACTTCTTTTAAGAATGTTACTCTTTTTTACTTTATGGGCAGGTTTTAGAGATTATGATCAAGGGAGTTGCTTCTAGAAAATATTAAACAATGAGAAAATCTCACACTACCAATTATTATTAGAGATACTAAGATGCTATATTTATACTAAAGAGTTTGAATATTTTCTCTAACTTGTATTTTTTAAAGTACTTTTGAATGTTGATCTCTAGTTGAAAATGTGTTTGAAATGTACTCTAAGCTAAAGTGGTTTAAAAGGTTTTGAAATTTGGGAGCTGATAGCAGTTGTGTTATAAATATCTCATCTAGTACAGATGTGAGTAATACCTTTTGCTCTGTTGTACTATTTCATAAATCAAAATTCTACCTCCTGATAACAGTATGTTGCTTCAAGCTTGCTAAGTAATAGCTGAAAATCTTTGAAGAACTTGTGTAAGGGTTGGAAAATGCTCACTGGAGATCTGCAGATTTCTGGAAGCCCTGTGTTCTATTCAAAATGGTCAAAGAGAGTTAGAGAATCACCAAACTGACTGTGGCACATGCAGCTTTGCGGATACTTCAAATATTTATTTTTAATCCATGATTTTGCTAGTTCCCATGCTATTCATATCCTTTTAGCAGTAAATCAGTTAAGCATGATTAATGAACAAGAAGCATACAGATTTAAGGAGGCCTATACTGGAAGATGTAATTGGGTTGGCAAACTTTTTTCTATAAAGGGCCAGATAATAAATATTCTTGGCTTTAAAGATCAGATGATCTCTGTTGCAGCTACTCAATTCTGCTACAGTTGTGCAAAAGCAGCAGCAGACAATATATGAACACATAAATGTGGCTGTGTTCCAATGGAACTTTATGAGAACAGGCAACAGGGCAGATTTGGCCTGTGGGCTATAATTTACTCACACCTGTTCCGAGCAATAGCTTTGTGATTGCTTTAAAATATTTTACCAAGTTTTCTCCTTAGATAGAATTCAGTCCAACACAGAAGATCATAGAGATGTTAATCGTCATTAAAACTCAAGATAGGAACTCGGACTGATTGCTGTAGCTAAAAGAGTTGCTTTGGGATATGTAACTGATTCCCTTTCTAATCCCACAGGCTTTATTCAGAGCAAATAAACAGCTGAGGTGAGAAATTAAACTCAGAAGACAATGTGACCCTTTACTTCTTGGATGAGTCTCAAAGTCTATCTTCTGAGTGTAATTACTGAAGAGTTGACTATATATGGATAGGTTGTCTGTGAACTAAACAGAGACTATGGTCAAAATCCAGGAAAAATGTTGTCGGATTCTGGGATTTGAGGCTTCTCAATGCTGACTAGCTGACAAGTCACTCTGTTAATCTCA
This sequence comes from Homo sapiens, assembly GCF_000001405.40. Classification (NCBI taxonomy): domain Eukaryota; kingdom Metazoa; phylum Chordata; class Mammalia; order Primates; family Hominidae; genus Homo; species Homo sapiens. The sequence continues at coordinate 19,523,997 of NC_000006.12, read as the reverse complement.
CCTCCTTTTCCTGTAGTTTGAATTTAACCATTTCTCAGCTTGTTGAGACATCTAGAGAAAGAAAAGAAAGGAGAGAGAGCTGAAACAAATAATTAAAGATCACTTTGGAAGAACAGAAAGTGAAGAGGCAGAAATGGTTAAGAAAAAATGAATGATGGGGAAATTGACAATTTGAATTATTATTTTTTAAAAATGCAGTGTTCTAGGTAAAATTTCTAAATAGTTGGAATTATCTTTGGCACCATTACACCCATCTCCTCTCACTCTACCTCATCATTTCCAGCACCCAGGGCATTAGTGCCACTTGTTGGGCCCTGAAAGTTTCTCCTTGCCATAGCTTGGGTTTCCATCTCCCAGTGTCTTATTTCGTTCCCCTGTTTCTTCTCATCCAAACTTTCAAATAGTCTTAGCTAGCCTCTAGAGGAAGGAGAATTTGTTTTAACTAATTTTTAGACCAATGTGAACATGACTGATATTTTCCTATACACATTAATCTATAACTTGTAATACTCAAAGTGTAGGGAGATAATTTTAAGCGGAGACTAATTCCTTAAATGACACCAAATAAGCCATTACCTGCTCAGTACAGGCATCTGCTGGCAACACTGATTACAAAAACAAAAGCGCAAACGGTGAAACTATTATAGCCCAAGAGTCAACTGACTTGGTGTCATCAAGTTCTCTAGACTTTGAAGATCACCCTTTATTTTAATATCCAAATATGTTGGCACAAGACTCTATCCCTGCCTTAGTTAGCTTGGGCTGCTATAATAAATGTCATAGAGTAGGTGACTTAAACAACAAACATTTATTTCTCACAGTTCTGAAGATGAAAGTCCAAAATCAGGTGACCAGAATGGTCTAGTTTCCGGTGAGGGCCCTTTTCCTGGTTTGCAGACCTCCACCTTCTCCCTGTGTCCTCACATGGTTGAGAGAGAGACCATCTCTCTCTTGTCTCTTTCATACAAGAGCATTAATTCCATTCATTATACCCCAAAGCCCCACCTCTAAATACCATCACATTGAAGATCAAGGCCCCAACATAAGAATTTTGGAGGGTATACAAATATTCCATCTATAGCAACACTGTATAAAGTTTTGAAACTATTACTGATATTATTGTGGATTTCAGGGAGATTGATATCTGTTTATTGGACCACACAGTAATTTTCTTCTTAATCATCACTCTCAGTACTTGAAGATTCTTTCTCTTGCTGTCTGACTCTTCCCTATGGTGGACACCACCCTAATTTCTTCATTCTCTTATGAATAGCTACAGTAAAATCCATGTGGACATTAATTTATTATCAGGCATTACAGTCTCAAAAATTTATCAGCCATTGCTGAAAATAGGGCATCAGCTTCCTCTCTTCTTAAGGCCTTTAGCTTGGCACTAGGGCTCTTTCTTTACCTAGCTCATCTTCACATTTATCATTATTTATTTATTAATTTTAATTTTCTCTCCAGGCTCTTGATCCACTCTTTCTTCCTGTTTTGTTTTGTTTTGTTTTGTTTTTGAGACAGCGTCTCACTCTGTCGCCCAGACTGGAGTGCAGTGGTGTGATCTCTGCTCACTGCAACCTCCGCCTCTCAGGTTCAGGTGACTTTCCTGCCTCAGCTTCCTGAGCAGGTGGGATTACAGGCAAATACCACCATGCCCGGCTAATTTTTGTATTTTTAGTAGAGACGGGGTTTCACCATATTGGCGAGGCTGGTCTTGAACTCCTGACCTCAAGAGATCCACCCGCCTCGGCCTCCCAAAGTGCTGGGATTACAGGTGTGAGCCACTGTGCCTGGCCGATCCTTGGTGTTTTTTTTCCACTCTGCTTTGCATAGAAATTAAGTTTTTTTTTTTTTTTTTTAACCCTCTTTTAAGGGTAGAAAGTGCCCTTTTTGTTCACACATGCACTCAAAACGATCACTGAATTACTTTCTTATATGTAGAACCTTTTCCCAAAATGAATACTATCACCATAGAATGAAAAAGCAAGTGCAGTCAGTTCTTTGTTATACAGCAATACTTCCCCCATTTCCTGCTATATCTAATTATTGACTATCTAGTAATCTTCAAGCTGCAAATGCATTTGCTTTGAAATCTCTAGCACTTCAAATTGTTTTCTGCTCTCTTTCTCTTGAAGTTCCTTTATATTTTGGCTTGGGGTAACGTTGCACTTGCTTGATTCTTTTAACTCGTTGAGCACTTCTTTTCTCTTTAATTTCTGCGTTCTTTTTCCTTATGCTCATCTTAGTTAACAGAGCCCAAGGTGTAGATTAAAATATGAGTTGTAGTCTGGGAAAGGAAAGTTCATAGGAGGTGGCAGAAAGGGTCCCAGAGCCAGCAGAGAGAGAGATTATGTCTCATTTGTCTCTTTAGTGTACAACTCATTCATTCAGGGATAAATGAGTTGATATAGTCATTTTCTCTGACCACTCCCACATTAGTTAAAAATATACAACTAAATATATTTTTGACTATGTGTTTTACTTTTTAAATAATTGCCTTAATTATCAACTCCTTCCGCTCTTGTTCTCCTTTTCACTTGCCTATTTGCTACTGGTATGAAGCATTCAATCATTCAAGTTGGAAAAATTGTCATTATTGTAGAAAGTTTTGTCTCCTTTGTGCCTAATATATATATAACAGCCAGGTCCTTATCACATTTTCATTTCTAGCATCTCTCACTCCTATCTTTTCCTTTACATTTCCATTGCCAGCCCCCTAGTCCATTCCTGTACTGTTTTCAACTTCTCTCGTTACCCATAGAGACATGAATAAAATGTTTCCTATTCTCCCAGTAGTGAATAAATGGAATGGATCCTGGAAACTCGGTGAGAGTAGTGTGTTTCACTGTAAATTTTTTAGTATTACACAGTTGTTCTATTACTTTGAAGCAATTATACCTGATAATGATTTGTAATGGGATACAGGAAAATTTATCTGAACTCTTCTCCCAAGTAATTGGTGGGCCTTGCATTGGGTCCCTGCTGGGCTTCAGGAAGTTGGGTTTTGTATGGAAGTGGACAGGGATGACTCTTAGCTGCAAGGTGTAGAATAAACTAAAAATAAAAATTTGGGTGAACACAAGCTATGGAACCAATTAAGTCTGAAGGGGCAGGCCAAAAGTCAAAAACCAGCAAGAACCAGATCCTAAAAAACTAGAGTAGTTGAGGATAGAGTAACCAGATTCTGGAGAAATTCCTGGAAATTATTAGTACATGGAGAGAAGGGAACTTTTCTAGGTATTGGGCGCCTCAACTCTATACAGGTGGAGGGCAGTGTAGTTAAAGATGCTGAGCACATCTAGATGGGAATGGAATGCTTTGGGATCACAGTATTAAAACCTAAAAATAGTTGAGGATAGTTATGAGGGCTTAGAAATAAAAAAGATGCCTCTAGCCCTTACTCCTTCCACAAGGGCATCTTCAAGATAATCAACACCTCATTGTATATCTTCAATTAGTCACAACTTTCATTGTCACAGGGAGTTACAATTGGATATTGAAACTCATTATTTGTAATACTATGTACTTTAAGTTACTAATGAATACGTTTAGTTTGAAAAGTAATTTTTTTTGCCATATTTAAAATCTCTCTACCTTAACAAAGTTCATGAAGTTAAAAAACAAACTTCCCAGTAGACTACCAGCTGTGGTAGAATACAAATTAATGAAATTAGAAAACCAAGAATGTCAGGATATAAACTCAGCCAACTGCAAAAATAAAATGTGATTATAAAAAGCATATTTTCTGTCCTCCAAAAATTGTATGAAATCAAAGTCTGTGCAAATTAATTAGAAATCCCGTATGACCGGTTATAGAAACATGTGGAGAATCCACAGGGCTGTTTTGGGAATGTGCCCAGTGTGGGAGAAGGCTCCAGTTTGGGGGTGTGGTGGTTGATGACCTGTTGCTCAAAGTCACACAGAGTCTCAAGTATATGATGACTTTTGGTTGCAAGGAGCAGAAATGGAAATCACTTAAAAAAATGTGAATCTATTGTAAGAATACATGTAGCCTGGAACTGAAATCAGAAATCCATCAGATACAGGGCAGTATTAGGGTCTCATTATCTTATTATCTTTTCGCTCATGTATTTATTCTATTAGTAATTCATGAATACTAATGCCATTCTCTGTTCTAGTCAATGAAGATGCAACAAAAAATAATACAATTAAGGGCCCTTCGTCTCTCATGTACTTTTTTCTGGTAGGAGGAGATAGACAATAAAAAAGGAAAAAATCTAATTTAGCAGAAGGGAAGCACAGGCCAATGGGTTAGGGAATGACTAGGAAGATTCTAATGTAGATTGGATAGTAAGAGAACAAGTGCCATATAAGCTAACTTCTGAATAATGAAAAGCAGCCAACCATGCAAGGAGATATATTCCAGGTAGAAGTTATAACAAACACAGTTATTCAAGACAAGAAAGACAATAACAACAACAAAATCAGAAAACAGTATGATTGGAGTGTAAGGAGCAATGGAGAGAATAGACAGAGTGAGATGTGGGAGACAGACAAATGTCAAGTGTATTGCAGCCTTTTGTCAGAGGAAAGACGCTTGAGTTTTCTAAGAAGCTGTGGGAAATCATTGCAGGGTTGTAGAGAAGTAGTACACGCTAATTCTTTTACCTCCTTTCATGACTCATAGGGCCCCAGTGATAGCAACAGTGCTTCTTACTGTTCATCTTCTCTGTTTCCTTCTTTGAGCATGGCCATATTCTCTACTCAGAGTTCTAGAGCAATGCAAGTAATTGACTAGCTAATGAATTACCTTTAATCAGGCTACCCTATGAGTTGCTGGATGCAATATGGATGGGCCTTCCTGGATCCAGTGTTAGGAATTGGTATAATTAGTAGCCATATCTGTGAAGAGGAAAATTAGTTGCTTCTATGAGCTAGAAGCTCAGGACAAGGACATATCAATTAGAGAGGGCAGAGGCAGGAACTGGAGACTAATGTGCCTGCAGTTCTTCTGTACTCTTAAAATTAAACTACAAACCAATTGGAAGTAATTGAAGTAAAATACATACAATTATTGTGTATGACATTACATAATTATATCATGTATTTAATAATCCAAAATTAAGATTTATATTTTATATAAATTCTATATAATTCTATACAAAATTAATAAATTATATTTTATATAAATTCCATATATTTTATAGTCTACAGCATGTATTTTCTTAGAAAATAGGGATGATGAATTATGTTAAATCAGACCCAGTTTTGTTGGCTCTAGAGGCATGTCTGGCAATATGGCTGGAAGAGCTTAGTTCATGGTTTGTAGTCCTTGATGGAAATGCCTCTGTGCATCTTCTTGGCAGCTCTGAAGATAATCTGCCCATATACATCTGGTATATTGCTGTGAAGCATTGCACTCGTAGCTTCTAAAACACCTGTTACTTGTTACGTTTCTTGCTGAGAAGCAAATAGTTTAAATTTTATCTTATCCACACATTTTTGACGTATTTTAGAGATGCTGGGTCAATCTCCTCTGCTTCAGGTGAATCTAACACTCATGGAATAATAAGATATCCTTAAGTTACAAAGATAGATGGTGGCAAACCCAAGAATAGAACCTGGGCTTTCATTAGCCATTCAGTGATTTATATACATCATGTCTGGAGGTGGGGAAGTGAATGGGAAAAAAATCAGTTAATGCAGCATATAGGAAAACAAGTGTAGAAATTGCATCATTTGAGAAGAATTGATGCTAAGGATAATTAACAGAAGAATAACACATTGAGAAGAGAGACAAAGGTATGGGAATGCGAAAAGTGAGTGTAATAAAAGGGAAGTATCCAATATTGAAAACTAGGCAATCTGATCTGTAAATCATTTTGAAGTCAATGAAAACCCATTAGGCCTCAAGAGAATTTTTCATATTGCAATGTTTCAACTAGCTTGATTTCTTTGAAGGACTTCTGTCATGAAACTTAGAAGTAATTATATACAAATATACTGTGTAAAAACTTACGTATATTATATCAAGAATTTTCTTTGCTATAGTTCCATATCTAACTTAAATGCCATGGGGTCAATTAATCTATCATTGCCTGAAGGTTTCCAAAATATGATGAGTAAAGAGTAAAGCACATTTATTAACCAGGAGAGCTACACCCTTGAACCAGTTTTTGTCCAAATCCTGTGGGATGATTGAAGCTCAGCATTTACCTGCAAATTCTTCTTTGTTTTTACTGTGTTTTATTCATTTCCTCTTAGGGCAGCAGTCCCCAACCTTTTTGGTACCAGGGACTGGTTTCATGGAAGGCAATTTTCCATAGCCCATGGAGGAGGGGATGGTTTTGGAATGATTCAAGTGCATTACATTTATTGTGCACTTTATTTCTATTATTATTACATTGTAATATATAATGAAATAATTATACAACTCACCATAATATAGAATCAGTTGAGCCCTGAGCTTGTTTTCCTGCAGCTAGACACTCTTATCTCGGGGTGATGGGAGATAGTGACAGCTCATCAGGCATTAGATTCTCATAAGGAGTGCACAACCTAGATCCCTCATATGCACAGTTCACAATAGAATTTGTGCTCTTTTGAGAATCTAATGCTACCCCTGATCTGAGAGAAGGTGGAGCTTATGCAGTAGTGTGAGCAATGGTGTATTAGTCTGTTCTTGTGCTGCTAATAAAGACATGCCTGAGACTGGGTAATTTACAAAGAGATTTAATTGACTCACAGTTCCACATGTCTGGGGAGGTCTCACATTCATGATGGAAGGTGAATAAGGAGCAAAGTCACATCTTACATGGCAGCAAGCAAGAGAACTTGTGCAGGGGAACTCCCATTTGTAAAACCAGGGCATCTTGTGAGACTCATTCACTATGATGAGAACAGTATGGGGGAAACTGCCCCCATGATTCAATAATCTCCACATGGGGATTATTACAATACGAGGTGGGATTTGGATGGGGACACAGCCAAACCTCATCATTTCACTGCTGGCCCCTCCCAAATCTCATGTCCTCACATTTCAAAACCCAATCATGCCTTCCCAACAGTCCCCCAAAGTCTTAACTCATTTCAGAATTAACTAAAAAGTCCACAGTCCAAAGTCTCATTGGAGACAAGGCAAGTCACTTCTGCCTATAAGCCTGTAAAATCAAAAGTAAGTTAGTTACTTCCAAGATACAATGGACATTCAGGCATTGGGTAAATGCTCCCATTGCAAAGGGGCGAAATGGGTGAAAACAAAGGGGCTAAAGGCTCCAAGCAATCCAAAATCTAGTTGGGCAGCCAAATCTTAAAGCTCTGAAATGATCTCCTTTGACTCCATGTCTCATATCCAGATCATGCTAATGGAAGAGGTGGGCTCCTATGGTCTTGGGCAGCTCCACCCCTGTGGCTTTTCAGGGTACAGCCTCCCTCCTGACTGCTTTCACAGGCTGGAGTTCAGTGTCTGTGGCTTTTCCAGGTGCATGGTGTAAACTCATGGTGGATCTACCTTTCTGGGGTCTGGAGGATGGTGACTGTCTTCTGACAGCTGCATTAGGCAGTACACCAGTGGGGACTCTGTGTGGGGGGTCCAACCCCACATTTCCCTTCTGCACTGTCCTAACAGAGGTTCTCCATGAGGGCCCCAACCCTGCAGCAAACTTCTGCCTGGACATCCAGGTATTTCCACACATCCTCTGAAATCTAGGCAGAGGTTCCCAAACCTCAGTTCTTTAATTCTGTGCACCCGAAGACTCGACACCACATGAAAGATGCCAAGGCTTGGGGCTTGCACCCTCTGAAGCCATCGGCTGAGCTGTACCTTGGCCCCTTGTAGCCATGTCTAGAGTAGCTGAGATGCAGGGCACCAAATCCCTAGGCTGCACAGAGCCGGGGTGGGGGGTCTGGGCCTGGCCCATGAAACCATTCTTTCCTCCTAGGCCTCTGGGCCTGTGATGGGAGAGGCTGTTGCCAAGACCTTTGACATGCCCTGGAGACATTTTCCCCATTGCCTTGGTGATTAACATTTAGCTCCTTGTTATTTATGCAAATTTCTGTATCCAGCTAGAATTTCTCCTCAGAAAATGGGTTTTTCTTTTCTATCGCATCGTCAGCCTGCAAACTTTTCTGCTCTGCTTCCCTTTTAAACATCAGTTCCAATTCTAAACCATATCTTTGTGAATACATAAAACTGAATGCTTTTAACGGCACCCAAGTTACATCTTGAGCACTTTGCTGCTTAGAAATTTCTTCTACCAGATACCCTAAATCATCTGTCTCAAGTTCAAATTTCCAAAGATCTCTAGGGCAGGGGCAAAATGCCACCAGTCTCTTTGCATAGCAAGAGTGACCTTTACTGCAGTTCCCAACAAGTTCCTCATCTCCATCTGAGACCACTGCAGCCTGGACTTTATTGTCCAAGTAACTATCAGCATTTTTGTCAAAGCCATTCAACAAGTCTCTAGGAAGTTCCAAACTTTCCCACATCTTCCTGTCTTCTGATCCCTCCAAGTCTCTAGGAAGTTCCAAACTTTCCTACATTTTCCTATCTTCTTCTGAGCCCTCCAAAGTGTTCCAACCTCTACCTATTACCCGGTTCCAAAGTTATTTCCACATTTTCAGGTATGTTTATAGCAGCACCCCACTCTACGAGTACCAATTTACTGTATTAGTCTGTTCTCATGCTGCTAATAAAGACAAACCTGAGACTGGGTAATTTATAAAGGAAAGAGGTTTAATTGACTCACAGTACCACATGGCTGGGGGGACCTCATAATCATGGTGGAAGCTGTCAAGGAGCAAAGCCACATCTTATATGGTGGCAGGCAAGAGAGCTTGTTCAGGGGAACTCCCATTTATAAAACCATCAGATCTCATGAGACTTATTCACTACCATGAGAACAGTATGGGGGAACTGCCCTTGACACATAGGGGTTATTATAACTCAAGGTGAGAGGTGGGTGGGGACATGGCCAAATCATATAAGATGGTGAGTGGCTGTAAATACAGATGAGGCTTCACTCAGTCACCTGCCACTCACCTCCTGCTGTGTGGCCCGGTTCCTGTCAGACCACAGACTGGTACTGGTCCATGGCCTATGGGTTGGGGACCCCTGTCTTAGGGGATGAAAGAAGCAGAATCCTTATAATACTTACTCTTTGCAAAAGATACTCTGTTGTTTTGTAGACAAGATACACTCTTCTAGGCAGGGATCAGGGTAATTTTTTTCTGAAAAAGGCCAGGATATTTTAGGCTTGTGGGCCATACTTAAAGTTGTGGGCCAATATATCATTGCAATGACACAGTTTGCCCATGTAGCTCAAAAGGTACAAAAGGGTTTGCAATACATAAATGAATGGGTGCAGCTGTGTTCTAAGAAAATTTTAATTTACAAAAGCAGGTCATCTATCAAGGAGGTCAAAGTACCAAGTCAAAGGAGCATAAAGAAAACAAAATGAAGAAAAGTGAAGAGCCTAAAAGGCTTAAGGGACATTATCAAGCAATATGAGCATCCCAGAGGAAAAGCAAGAGGGAAAGAAGTGGATAACTATTTGAAGAAATAATGGCCAAAACCTTCCCAAATCTGAGGAAAGGAATGAACATAGAAATTCAAAGAGCTCAACAAACTCTAACTCAAAAACTCCAAAAGACTCACACCAGGACACATTATAATCAAACTCCCAAAGATCACAAAGATACAATCTTGAAATCAACAAGAGAAAAATGACTATCTTGCACAAAGGAGCTTCTAGAAGATTATCAATGAATTTTTCAGAGGAAATTTTGCAGAAGAAAAGAGGGTGGATTTAAAGTGCTGAAAGAAAGAAAGAAAGAAAGAAAAAACCCTGCCAACCAAGAATACTACATCACACAAAACTATCCTTCAAAAATGAAGAATAAATTAAGACTTTCCCAGATAAACAAAAGCTGAGAGAGTTCATCACCAGTAGACCTGGTATGCAATAAATTCTAAAGGGAGTCCTTCAAGTTGAAAGGGAAGGATATAAGATAGCAACACAAGACCACACAAATATATAAAGCTCTCTGGTAAAGATAAATATATAGGCAAATATTCACTCATGTAGTATCATAATGTTGGTTCATAAGATACTTTTAATTCTTGTATAAAATTTAAATGACAAGCATAAAATAACTCTAAATTGATGTTAATGAATGCACAGTATAAAAAGATGCAATTTGTGACATTAATAACATAAAGTGTGTAGGGTGGGAAGGCAGAGATGTAAAGTGGAAGAGTACTAGTATGAAGTTAAATTGTTAACAGTTTAAAATAGGTTATTATAAACTTAAGATATTTTTTGTAATTCACATGGTTCCCACAAAGAAAATACCTGTAGAGGATGAACAGATGGAAATAAGAAGGTAATCAAAGCATATCACTACAAAAAAAGTGAGTGAAAACAAAGGAAGGCAATAAGAGAGGAAAAGACGGATGAAATAGCCAAAATATATTTAAAAAATGGCAATAGTAAGTCCTCCCCTATCGGTAATGAGTTGACCCTTGAACAACATGGGGCTTAGGGGAATCAATTTCCCACATAGTTGAAAATCTGCATACAACTTTTGACTTCCCTAAACTTAACTACTAATAGCCTGTGATTTACTGGATGCCTTAAAAATAGCATTAATAGTCAATTCACACATATTTGTTTGTTATATCTATTAGTACTGTACCCTTACAATAAAGTAAGCTACATAATAGAAAATGTTAATAAGAACATTCTCTCACCATTACTATTCAACATAGTACTGGAAGTTAAAGCCAGAGGAATCAGGCAAGAGAAAGAAATAAAAGGCATCCAAATAATAAAAGATGAAGTCAAATTATCTCTCTTCACTGATGATATGATTTTATACCTAGAAAATCCTGAAGGCTCTGCCAAAAGGCTCCTTGAGCTGATAAATGGCTTCAGTGAAGTGTAAGGATGTAAAACCAGCATATGTCCTAAAAAAAAAAAACAACAAAGCTGGAGACATCACATCACCCAACTTCAAACTATACTATACTATAAGGCTACAGTAACCAAACAGCATGGTACAAAAAAAGCTAGTGAAAACAAAGGAAGGCAATAAGAGAGGAAAAGACAAATGAAATAGCCAAAAGATATTTAAAAAATGACAATAGTAAGTCCTCCCCTGTTTCTGTGGTACAGAAACAGACACATAAACCAATAGAATAGAATGGAATAGAGAACCAAGGATTAAAGTCACACGCCTACAACTATCTGATCTTCAACAAAGTTGACAATAACAAGCAGTGGGGTTATTTATGTCCTTATGTTAGCAATTTGTTCTGTACTTTTCCAAATGTTCGCTGGCTAATGAAAGTATCAAATTGTACAAATACATTCACTTTTAAATTCTAGAAAGAAAATTCTGAAAAAGAGAAAATACATTTCCTATTAATTAAGTGGATATAGATCACCATAAAGTTTTTCATCCTCATTGTCTTCACATTGAGTAGGCTGAGGAGGAGTAGGAGGAGAAGGGGTTAGTCTTTCTGTTTCACGGGTGGCAGTGGTGGAAGAGGTGGAAGAGGTGGAAGGGGAGGCAGGAGAGGCAGGCACAGGGTGTAATATTTATTGAAAAAAAATCCATACCTAAGTGGACTCACACAGTTCAAACTCATGTTGTAGAAAGGTCAACTGTATTTTAAATGTAAATGAATTAAACTAATCAAAATACATAGATTGGCTGAATAGATAAAAAATTAAAAACAACAAAAAACCAAGAGCCATCCATATGCTGTCTACAACAGACTTTAAAGACACACATAAGCTATAAGGGAAAAGATAGAAAAATATATCTAAAATATGGATATGCTGCAGAAAGGGATGATTCATGTTCCAAACAGGTTGGAGCAAGATGCTACTCAGAATGATGCACAATTTAAAACTTTTGATTATTGATTTTCAGAATTTTCCACTTAATATTTTCAGACCTCGTTTGACCATGAGTAACTAGAACCACAGAAAGAGAAACCAAGGATAAGGGCGGACTACTGTGGACCAATTGTACCTAACAGCCATGTACAGAACATTTCTTCCAACAACAGGAGGATACACATTCTTCTCAAGCACATGTGTGACAGTCTCCAGGACAGACTACATTTTAGGTCACAAAACAAATCTTAACAAATTAATAAAATTGAAATCATGCAAGGTATCTTTTCCAACTACAATGCAATGCAACTAGAAATTACCAGTTGAAGGAATACTGGAAAGTCTACAAATATGAAAAAATTGTAAAACACATTCTTTAAAAACCAATGGGTCAAAAAAGAAATCACAAGGTAAATTAGGAAATAGTGAATACCCCACTCATGTGCTAACACCACTATCAGCCTAATCGAGTGCACAGTCCCCAACAGGAGCCCCCTGCACCCTGCAGCCATGCTGCCCACTCCACTGTGGTGAATGAACATGCAGAGGCAGGCACCCCAGCACTGGCAAGCACTCTGCTGCAGCCAATGAATATGCACCTCTTCATGCTGCTCCTGCTGCTGGCACATGCAAACAAAGATGTATCCTTCTGCTACTGCACTATGAAATGCTTTGGCTGACACCACTCATTGGAGTGTAGTGACCGCTGGTCCAGGAGCACCTTGTCAGCAGCCCCCTTCCCCAGCACAGTGGATTCTTAACCTATAGGAGCCTGACAACAAAATTGGGGCCTTATGCAAGTCCCCCAGAGTCTGAGCATGTAGTCCAGGACTTGGGAGCTGAGCACTGGCCCCCTAAAATCTTCCAGAAACAAAGCCAGTTGGCTGAATCCACTTTATACCACAATCAAACCTTCAAGTTTATTAAATAGGATAAAATGAAAAAAAAAAAAGTCCATCCATAGGTTAGCAACTTCAAAGATTAAAGAAACATCAGCCCCAAAACATGAGAAAGAACAAGTGCAAGAACTTTGACGACTCAAAAAGTCAGTGTGCCTTCTTTCCCCCAGATGACTGCACCACCTCTTCAGCAAGGGTTCTGAACCAGGCTGGGATGTCTGAGATGGCAGAAATAAAATTCAGAGTATGGATAAGAATGGAAATCATTAAGATGTAGGAGTATGTTGAAACCCAATCCAAGGAAGCTAAAAGTCACAATTAAATGATACAGGAGCAGACAGACAAAATAGCCAGTATAGAAAATAATGTAACTAACCTAACATAGCTGAATAGCACACTACAAGAATTTCATAATGCAATCAAACGTATTAATAGAAGAATAGACCAAGCTGAGGAAAGAATCTCAGAGTTTGAAGAATAGCTTTCCGAAATAAGACAGGCAGACAAGAATAGAGAATAAAGAATGAACAGGAACAAGTAAAACCTCTGAGAAATATTGGATTATTTAGAGAGACCAAATCTAATTGGTGTCCCTGAAGGAGATGAAACAGTGCAAGCAACTTGGAAAACATATTTGTGGATATCATCCATGAGAACTTCCTCAACCTAGCTAGAGAGGCCCACATTCAAATTGAGGAAATGCAGAGCACCTCAGTAAGATACTTCACAAGAAGTTTATCCACAAGACACATAATTAACATTCTCCAAGGCTGAAATGAAAGAAAAAATGTTGAAGACAGCTAGAGAGAAAGGTCAGGTTATCTACAAAGGGAAGCCCATTAGACTAACAACAGACATCTCACCAGAAATCCTGCAAGCCAGAAAATATTGCCAGCTAATACGCAACCTTCTTACAAAAAACAAATTCCAACCAAGAATTTCATATCCATCCATAATAAGCTTCATAAGTGAAAAAGAAATAAGATACTTTTGAGACAAGCAAATACTGAGAGAATTTGTTACCACCAGATGGGCCTTACAAGAGCATTTGAAGGAAGCACTAAATACAGAAAGGAAAGACCATTAGCAGCCACCAAAAACATGCTTAAATACAAAGAACAGTGACACTATAAAGCAACCACATAAACAAGTCTGAATAATAACCAGTTAACATTATGATGACAGGATAAAATCCACACATATCAATAGTAACCTTGAATGTAAATGGGCAAAATGCCCCAATTAAAAGGCACAGAGTGGCAAGCTGGGTAAAGAAACAAGATCCATTGATATGTTGTCTTCAAGAGACCCATCTCATATTCAAGGACAGCTATAGGCTCAAAATAAAAAGGTGGAGAAAAATTAACCACGCAAATGGAAAACAGAAAAAAGCAGAGATTGCAATTCTAATTTCAGACGTAACAGACTTTAAACCAACAAAGGTCAAAAAAGACAAAGAAAGGCATTACATAATGGTAAAGGGTTCAATTCAACAAGAAGATCTAACTATTCTAAATGTATATGCACCCAACACAGGACCACACAGATTCATAGAGCAAGTTCTCAAAGACCTTCAGGGACTTAGACTCCCACCCAATAATAGTGGGAGACTTGAACACCCCAGTGATATTATTAGACAGATAATCAAGGCAGAAAACGAACAAACATATTCAAAACCTGAACCCAGCACTGTATCAAATAGACTTGATAGACATCTGCAGAACTCTTCACTCAGAAGCAACAGAATATACATTCTTCTCATCGCCACATGGCACATACTCTAAAATTGATCACATTGTTGGACACAAAGCACTCCTTAGCAAATGCAAAACACTGAAATTATAAAAACTACTCTCTCAGACCACAGTGGAATGAAATTAGAAATCAAGATTAAGAAATTCACTCAAAACCATACAATTCCATGGAAATCAAATAACCTGCTCCTGAATGACTTTTGAGTAAATAATGAAATTAAGGCAGAAATCAATAAGTTCTTTCAAACTAATAAGAACAAAGATGCAACATACCAGAATCTTTGGGACACAGCTAAGGCAATGTTAAAATGAAAACATACAGCACTAAATGCCCACACCAAGAAGTTAGAAGAATCTCATTTTTCTATCATTATGTAAACTATCATTACAACTGATAGGTTACAAATGATAGGTTATATAATGTAACCTATCATTACAACTAAAAGAACTAGAGAACCAAGATAAAACAAATCCTAAAGCTAGCAGAAGACAAGAAATATTCAAAATCAGAGTTGAATTGAAGGAGATTGAGACATGAAAAACATTTCAAAAGGTCAAGAAATCCAGGAGTTGATTTTTTGAAAAAATTAATAAAATAGGTAGACTAATGAATAAGAAAAGAAGATCCAACTAAACAATTAGAAATGACAAAGGGGATATTACGACTGACCCCACAGAAACACAAATAACCATCAGAGCATATTCTGAACACCTTTATGCACATAAACTAGAAAATCTAGAAGAAATGGATGAAATCTTAGACACATACACCCCCTCAAGACTGAGCCAGGAAGAAATTGAATCCTTGAACAATTCAACAATGAGCTCTGAAATTGAATCAGTAATAAATAGCCTACCAACCAAAAACAAACAAACAGACAAACAAAAATCCCAGGACCAGATGGATTCACAGCCAAATTCTATCAGATGTACAAAGAAAAGCTAGTATCATTCCTACTGACACGATTTCAAAAAATTGAGGAGAGACTCCTCCCTAACTCATTCTGTGAGGACAGAATCATCCTGATACCAAAAGCCAGCAGAAACACAACAACAACAAAAAACTTCAGGCCAATATTTGTGATAAACATTAATGCAAAAATCCTCAAGAAAGTACTGGCAAACCAAATCCAGCAGTACATCAGAAACTTATCTACCACAGTCAAGTAGGCTTTATTCCTGGGATGCAAAGTTGGTTCAATATATGCAAATCAGTTAATATAATTCAGCACATCAATGGAACTAAAGATAAAAACCACATGATTATTTCAATAGATGCAGAAAAGGCATTTGATAAATTTTAACACCTCTTCAAGTTAAAAACTCTCAATAAACTAGGTATTGAAGGAATATACCTCAAAACAGTAAGAGCTGTGTGATGGTTAATACTGAGTGTCAATTTCATTGGATTTAAGGATACAAAGTATTCATCCTGGATGTGTCTGTGAGGGAGTTGCCAAAGGAGATTAACATATGAGTCAGTGGGCTGGGAAAGGCAGACCCATCTTTAATCTGGGTGGACACCATCTGATCAGCTGCCAGCATGGCTAGAATATAAAAAGCAGGCAGAAAAATGTGAAAAAGACAAAATGGGCCAAGCCTCCCAGCCTCCATCTTTCTCCTGTGCTGGATGCTTTCTGCCCTCGAGCATCAGACTCCAAGTTCTTCAATTTTGGAAATCAGACTGGCTCTCCTTGCTCCTCAGCCTGCAGACGGCCTATTGTGGGACCTTGTGATCATGTGAGTTAATACTTAATAAACTCCTATGTATCTATAGAAATATGTATATACACACACACGCATATATATATGTACACACACACACACACATATATATTCATTAATTCTGTCCCTATAGAGAACCTTGACTAGTACAAGCTGTCTATGACAAACCCACAGACAACATCATACTGAATGGGCAAAAGCTGGAAGCATTCTAAAGTCAGGAGATAGAGACCATCCTGGCTAACATGGTGAAACCCCATCTCTACTAAAAATACAAAAAATTAGCCAGGCATGGTGGTGGGTGCCTGTAGTCCCAGCTACTCCTGAGACCGAGGCAGGAGAATGGTGTGAACCCAGGAGGCAGAGCTTGCAGTGAGCCAAGATCACTCCACGGCACTCCAGCCCGGGTGACAGAGAGAGACTCTGTCTCAAAAACCAGCACAAGATAAGGATGCCCTGTCTCACTACTCCTATTCAACATAATATTGGAAGTTGTGGCCAGAGCAATCAGACAAGAGAAAGAAAAAAAGGGCATGCAAATCCAAATAGGAAGAGAGGAAATCAAACTATCCTTGTTTGCAGATGACATGATCATAAACTGAAACAACCCCATACTCTTGGCCCAAAAGTCCCTTGATCTGATAAACAACCTTAGCCAAGTTTCAGGATACAAAATCAACATGCAAAAATCACTAGCATTCCTATACACCAACAACAGTCAAGCTGAGAGTGAAGTGAGAAATGCAATCCCATTTACCATTACCATAAAAAGAATAAAATACCTATGGATACAGCTAACCAGGGATGTGAAAGATCTGTACAAGAAAGACTGCAAAACACTGTCCAAAGAAATCAGAAATGACACAAATGGAAAAACATTTTATGCTCATGAATAGGAAAAATCAATATCATTAAAATGGCCATACTGCCCAAAGAAATTTACAGACTTAATGCTGTTCCTGTCCAACTACCATTGACATTCTTCAGAGAATTGGGAAAAACTATTTAAAAATCTATTTGGAATCAAAAAAGAGCCTAAATATCCAAGGCAGTCCTAAGCAAAAAGAACAAAGCTGGGAGCATCACACTTCCTGACTTCAAACTATAATACAGAGTTACAGTAACCAAAACAGCATGGTACTGGTATGAAAACAGACACATAGACCAATGGAACAGAATGGAGAATCCAGAAAAAAGACTGCATACCTACAACTATCTGATTTTTGATGAGCCTTACAAAAGCAATGGGGAAAGGACTCCTTATTCAATAAACGTTGCTGGGGTAACTGGCTAGCCATATGCAGAAAACTGAAACTGGACCCCTCCTTACACTGTATGCAAAAATTAACTCAAGATAGAGTAAAGCCTAAAATGTAAAACCCAAAACTATAAAAAACCTGGAAGACATCCTAAATGATATTTTTCTGGACATTGGAACAGGCAAAGATTTTATGATGAGGAGGCAAAAGCAATTGCAACAAAAAAAAAACTTGACAAATGGGATCTAATTAAACTAAAGAGCTTCAGCATGGCAAAATAAACTACCAATAGAGTAAGCAGGCAACCTACTGAATGAGAGAAAATGTTTTCAAATTATGTATCTGACAAAGGTCTAATATCCAGCATCTATAAAAAACTTGTATTTATAAGAAAAAAAACAACTCCATTAAAAAGTGGGTAAAGGTCATGAACAGACATTTTCCAAAAGAAGACATACATGCAGCCAACAATCATATGAAGAAAAGCTCAACATCACTGATTATTAGAGAAATGCAAATCAAAACCACAATGAGATACCATTTCACACCAGTCAGAATGGCTATCATTAAAAAGTCAAACAATAATAGGTACTGGGGAGAATGTGGAGAAAAAGGAATGCCTATACACTGCTGGTGGGAGGGTAAATGAGTTCAACCATTGTGGAAAACAGTATGGTGATTCCTTGAAGACCTAAAAACAGAACTACCATTTGACCCAGCAATCCCATTGCTGGGTATATACCTAAGGTAATATAAGTCAGTCTGTCATAAAGACACGTGCATGTGTATGCTTATTGCAGCACTATTCACAATAGCAGACATGGGTTCAACCTAAATGCCCATCAGTGGTAGACTGGATAAAGAAAATGTGGTACATATATATCATTGAGTACTATGCAGCCATATAAAAATGAGAGTATGTACTTTGCAGAAACATGGAGGGAGCTGGAGGCCATTATCCTTAGCAAACTAACACAGGAATAGAAAACCAAATACTGCATGTTCTTATAAGTGGGAGCTAAATGATGAGAATACATGGACTCATAGAGGATAACAATAGACACTGGACTGACCTTGATTATGGAAAGTGGAAGGAGAGGATCAGGAAAAATAATTAATGAGTACTAGGCTTAATATCTGGGTGACAAAGTAATCTGAACAACAAACCCACATAACACGAGTTTAGCTATATAACAAACCTGCACATGTACTCCTGAACTGAAAATAAAAGTTAAAAAAGAAAAGATCTTGAGATAAATGAAATGAAAACAATGTACCAAAACTTATCAGAGATAGTGAAAGCACTTTTGAGAAGGAAGTTTATAGACATAGATGCTCATGTAAGAAAGAAGAGAGAACTCCGAAAAAGAATTCACAAAAATAAGAACAAATGGAACCCAAAGCTGGCAGAAGGAAGGGAAAAATAATTACAGCATAAACAATAAAATAAATAATGGAAAAACAATAGAAAATAATCAACAAAACAAAGAATATTCAGAAAGAACAAAACTGACAAAGTCTTAGATTAACAAACAAAAAAGAAGACTCAAAAGACTGAAATTTAAAATGAATGGACACTTCTACTGATGCCTCAGCATTCAAAAGAATTATAAGAGAACATATGAATAATTACATACTAATAAATTGGATAACCCAGAAGAGATGGATAAATTTCTATAAAAACACAGCCTACCACGATTGAATCATGAATAAATAAAAAATTTGAATAGATTTATAACTAGTAGGGTGACTGAATCAGTAAACAAAAGCCTCCCCCCAGCAAAACAAAACAAAACAACACAACAAGAAAACCCAAGATCAGATGGCTTCACTGGAGAATTCTATCACATATTTAAAAAATATTAATACCAATTCTCCTGGAACTCTTTAAAAAAATTGAAGAGGAGGAAGCATTTCCAAACTCATTATATGAGGCCAGTATTACACTGACACTAGAGCCAAACATACTACAAGAAAAAGAAACTACTGACCATTACCTCTAATAAATACTGGTATAAGAATTCTCAGCCAAATAACAGCAATCCAAATTCAGCACCACCTTAAAAGGATTATACACCATGATTAAGTGGATTTATTCCTAGAATGCAAGAATGATTCAACATATGGAAATCAAAGTAATAGATCACCTTAACAGAATGAATAATAAAAACCTAATATCACCTCAATTGATACAGAAAAGGCATTGACAAAATGTAATACTCTTTATGATAAACTCACTTAACAAACTAACAACAGAGGGAAACAACCTCAGCATTATAAAGATCATATGTGAAAAGCCAACTGCTAACTTAGTGGTGAAACTCAATGGTGCAAAATTGAAAGCTTTTTCTTTAAGATCAGGAACAAGTCAATGATACTCATAGTATGTAAAGTCCTAGCCAGAGAAATTAGGGTAGAAAACGAAATAAAAGTGGTTCAAATGGAAGAGGAAGATGTAAAAGTTATCTTTGTTCACAGGTGACATGATCTTGTATATAGAAAGCTCTGAAGATTACACACACACACATACACACACACACACACACACACACCTGTCAGAATGAATAAACATGTCGAGCAAAGTTGCAGGGTACAAACCAACATGCAAAAATCATTTGTTTCTATACACTAACAACAATGTATCCAAAAAGGAGATTAAGAAAGCAATTTTATTTATAATAGCATAAGAATAAAATAATTAAATATAAACTTAACCAAGGAGATGAAAGGTTTATACATAAAAATTACAAAATATTACTGAAAGAAATTAAAGAAGACACAAACAAATGGAAAGCTACCCTGTGTTCATGGATTGAAAGGCTTAATGTTTGGAAAATGTCCAAACTACCCAAAGCAATCTGCAGCTTCAATATAATCCCTAACGAAATCCCAATGGCATTTTTTGTAGAAATAGAAAAAAAGTTATAAAATTTATATAGAATCATAAGGGACCACAAATAGCAAAAACAATCTTGAAAGAAAAGAGAACAAAGCTCTTTTATTTCAAAACATATTATAAAGCTATAGTAATTAAAATGATGTGGTATTGGCATAGAGACAGGCATGTAGACTAATGGAATGGAGAGTCCAAAAATAAAATCTCATGTATATGTTCAAATGATTTTCTTTAATGGCACCAAGACTACTCAGTAGGGAAGGTACAGTCTCTTTAAAAAAATAGCGTTGGGAAACTAGATAGCCACATGCAAAATAATGAAGAATGAAGTTGGACTTTACATTTCATTACATTCAAGAATTAGCTAAAAATAGATTAAAGACCTAAATGTATGACCTAAAAATATCAAACTCCTGGAAGAAAACAGGAGAAAAGTTTCGTGGCATTAAATTTAGATTTTCAGAGTGAAAGACAACCTACAAAAAGGGAGAAAATACTTGTAAATCATGTTTGATAAGGGGTTAGTACACAGAATATACTAAAACTCCTACAACTCAAGAAAAACCAAAAAAGTTACCAATTTAAAAATGAGTGAATGATTTGGGAGACTTTTCTCCAAAGAAATTGTCAACAAGCATATGAAACTATGCTCTCAACATTATAAATCATTAGAGAAATGCAAAACAAAGCCACAATGAGGTATCATCTTCCATCTGTTCAGATGTCCACTATTAAAAAACAAACAAACCCACAAAGAACAAAACAGAAAACAACAAATGTTGGAGAAGATGTGCAGAAATTGGAACTTCTGTGCACTGTTGGAGGGAATGTATAATGATGTAGCCACTATGGAAAATATTATGGAGATTCCTCAAAAAATAAAAAGTAGAATTATCATATAATTCAGCAATCCTGCTTCTGGATATATATTCAAAAGAACTGAAAGCATGATTTCAGATATTTGTATAGCCATGTGTATTGTAGCATGATTCATAATAGCCAAGAGTGGAAGCAATCCAAATGTCCATGGACGGAAGAGTAAAGAAAATGGGGCATGTACATAGAATGGAGCATTATTCATCTTTTAAAAAGAAGGAATCTTGTCACATGCTATAACCCGGGTTAACCTTGAAAATAAGCCAGTCACAAGAAGACAGATATTGTATGACTCCATTCATATAAGGCATTGAAAGTAGTTAAATTCACAGGAACAGAAAGTAGAATTGTGCTTTCCAGGGGCTGGAGCAATGAAGAAATGGGGAGTTGTTTAATTGATGCAGAGTTTTAGTTTTTCAGGGAGTTGTTTAATAGACGTAGAGTTTCCATTTTGCAAGATGAAAAATACTTGAAATGTGTTATATATCCTTAATTGTTAAGATGGTGAAATTTATGTTATGTGCTTTCTTAGCTAAATATTTATTGAAAGCAGGTTATTCCCCAGATTTGGCCTGAGGGCCATCATTCACTGCCCCCTGCAGAGGATCAACCATTGCTGAAGCAGAAGGAAAAGTCGAAGATGAACAATGGGTGCTTTCTGTGGCTACGAGGGACCATGAAACAAAATATTGGTTTGCCGATTCTTTTAAGTTGTGTTAGGGTGAAAAATGAGGAATTTGATGGACTATTCTGTGTCCACATTAGAGGGAAAATATTGTGGAGAGAAGGTACTCTGGGCCTAGTGGCTGGAGGAGGTAATGCCTTACTGTTGGAAGTAGACAGGAAGAATGATTAAATGTGTTTTCTGTTCATTAAGTATATTGAAACCTTCATAGTTTGAAGTCACTATAAGCCTTTTAAGAATGAAAAAATCTTAATAAAAAATACATCCAATTTGATTTTTCCTCTTGCAATGGAATTGTTGATAGAGTCCCACGTATTGTGTCTAACATCAAACAAAATTTATTTCAACTTTTCTGTTGTTTTTGCTTTTTTTTTTCTTTAAATCTTGGGTTTCACAATAAACAGGTTGATGTCTATGATTTGATTTTTCCTTTTGGGGTAGGGGGAGGTATGGTTTAAACTCTTTTAATGTTTTATTTGTGCAAATTAGATGTCAAAATCCTTGGTATGGAAATCAGATCTTTTTATATATTCAGGAAAAAATCTTACATATATAGTGCTTTGTAGATCATAGTTACCACAAACATAGCTTGAATACAGCAATCAGAAAAGTTGAAAGTAATAGTATAACTAGTATTTTAAAGAGACACATAAAAGAAGGTGATGCTAAGTTTAAGACGGTGTTAAAATGTTTGGACTGTCAGAGATGTTCCATTCTCATAGAACTTTAAATAATGTGACAGAGATACATTTCTTATTTCTTTTTTAAGTTATTTTTTTATTTTATTTTATTTTATTATTATACTTTAAGTTTTAGGGTACATGTGCACAATGTGCAGGTTTGTTACATATGTATACATGTGCCATGTTGGTGTACTACACCCATTAACTCGTCATTTAGCATTAGGTATATCTCCTAATGCTATCCCTACCCCATCCCCCCACCCCACAACAGTCCCCAGAGTGTGATGTTCCCCTTCCTGTGTCCATGTGTTCTCATTGTTCAGTTCCCACCTATGAGTGAGAACATGCGGTGTTTGGTTTTTTGTCCTTGTGATAGTTTGCTGAGAATGATGATTTCCAGTTTCATCTATGTGCCTACAAAGGACATGAACTCATCATTTTTTACGGCTGCATAGTATTCCATGGTGTATATGTGCCACATTTTCTTAATCTAGTCTATCGTTGTTGGACATTTGGGTTTGTTCCAAGTCTTTGCTATTGTGAATAGTGCCGCAATAAACATATGTGTGCATGTGTCTTTATAGCAGCATGACTTATAGTCCTTTGGGTATATACCCAGTAATGGGATGGCTGGGTCAAATGGTATTTCTAGTTCTAGATCCCTGAGGAATCGCCACGCTGACTTCCACAATGGTTGAACTAGTTTACAGTCCCACCAACAGTGTAAAAGTGTTCCTATTTCTCCACACCCTGTCCAGCACCTGTTGTTTCCTGACTTTTTAATGATTGCCATTCTAACTGGTGTGAGATGGTTATCTCATTGTGGTTTTGATTTGCATTTCTCTGATGGCCAGTGATGATGAGCATTTTTTCATGTGTGTTTTGGCTGCATAAATGTCTTCTTTTGAGAAGTGTCTGTTCATATCCTTTGCCCACTTTTTGATGGGGTTGTTTGTTTTTTTTCTTGTAAATTTGTTTAAGTTCATTGTAGATTCTGGATATTAGCCCTTTGTCAGATGAGTAGGTTGCAAAAATTTTCTCCCATTTTGTAGGTTGCCTGTTCACTCTGATGGTAATTTCTTTTGCTGTGCAGAAGCTCTTTAGTTTAATTAGATCCCATTTGTCAATTTTGACTTTTGTTGCCATTGCTTTTGGTGTTTTAGACATGAAGTCCTTGCCCATGCCTATGTCCTGAATGGTAATGCCTAGGTTTTCTTCTAGGGTTTTTATGGTTTCAGGTCTAACATGTAAGTCTTTAATCCTTCTTGAATTAATTTTTGTATAAGGTGTAAGGAAGGGATCCAGTTTCAGCTTTCTACATATGGCTAGCCAGTTTTTCCAGCACCATTTATTAAATAGGGAATCCTTTCCCCATTGCTTGTTTTTCTCAGGTTTATCAAAGATCAGATAGTTGTAGATATACGGCGTTATTTCTGAGGGCTCTGTTCTGTTCCATTGATCTATATCTCTGTTTTGGTAACAGTACCATGCTGTTTTGGTTACTGTAGCCTTGTAGTATAGTTTGAAGTCAGGTAGCGTGATGCCTCCGACTTTGTTCTTTTGGCTTAGGATTGACTTGGTGATGCGGGCTCTTTTTTCGTTCCATATGAACTTTAAAGTAGTTTTTTCCAATTCTGTGAAGAAAGTCATTGGTAGCTTGATGGGGATGTCATTGAATCTATAAATTACCTTGGGCAGTATGGCCATTTTCACGATATTGATTCTTCCTATCCATGAGCATGGAATGTTCTTCCACTTGTTTGTATCCTGTTTTATTTCATTGAGCAGTGGTTTGTAGTTCTCCTTGAAGAGGTCCTTCATGTCCCTTGTAAGTTGGATTCCTAGGTATTTTATTCTCTTTGAAGCAATTGTGAATGGGAGTTCAATCATGATGTGGCTCTCTGTTTGTCTGTTATTAGTGTATAAGAATGCTTGTGATTTTTGCACATCGATTTTGTATCCTGAGACTTTGCTGAAGTTGCTTATCAGCTTAAGGAGATTTTGGGCTGAGACGATGGGGTTTTCTAGATGTACAATCATGTCATCTGCAGACAGGGAGAATTTGACTTCCTCTTTTCCTAATTGAATACCCTTTATTTCCTTCTCCTGCCTAATTGCCCTGGCCAGAACTTCCAACACTATGTTGAATAGGAGTGGTGAGAGAGGGCATCCCTGTCTTGTGCCAGTCTTCAAAGGGAATGCTTCCAGTTTTTGCCCATTCAGTATGATATTGGCTGTGGGTTTGTCATTGATAGCTCTTATTGAGATACGTGCCATCAATACCTAATTTATTGAGAGTTTTTAGCATGAAGCGTTGTTGAATTTTGTCAAAGGCCTTTTCTGCATCTATTGAGATAATCATGTGGTTTTTGTCTTTGGTTCTGTTTATATACTGGATTACATTTACTGACTTGCGTGTGTTGAACCAGCCTTGCATCCCAGAGATGAAGCCCACTTGATCATGGTGGATAAGCTTTTTGATGTGCTGCTGGATTCGGTTTGCCAGTATTTTATTGAGGATTTTTGCATCAATGTTCATCAAGGATATTGGTCTAAAAATTCTCTTTTTTTGTTGTGTCTCTGCCAGCCTTTGGTATCAGAATGATGCTGGCCTCATAAAATGAGTTAGGGAGGATTCTCTCTTTTTCTATTGATTGGAATAGTTTCAGAAGGAATGGTACCAGCTCCTCCTTGTAGAATTCGGTAGAATTCTACTCCTCTGGTAGAATTTGGCAGAATTCTACTCCTCTGGTAGAATTCGGCTGTGAATCCATCTGGTCCTGGACTCTTTTTGGTTGGTAAGCTATTGATTATTGCCACAATTTCAGAGCCTGTTATTGGTCTATTCAGAGATTCAGCTTCTTCCTGGTTTAGTCTTGGGAGGGTGTGTGTGTCCAGGAATTTATCCATTTCATCTAGATTTTCTAGTTTATTTGCGTAGAGGTGTTTGTAGTATTCTCTGATGGTAGTTTGTATTTCTGTGGGATCGGTGGTGATATCCACTTTATCAATTTTTATTGTGTCTATTTGATTCTTCTCTCTTTTCTTCTTTATTAGTCTTGCTAGCAGTCTATCAATTTTGTTGATCTTTTCAAAAAACCAGCTCCTGGATTCATTAATTTTTTGAAGGATTTTTTGTGTCTCTATTTCCTTCAGTTCTGCTCTCATTTTAGTTATTTCTTGCCTTCTGTCAGCTTTTGAATGTGTTTGCTCTTGCTTCTCTAGTTCTTTTAATTGTGATGTTAGGGTGTCAATTTTTGATGTTTCCTGCTTTCTCTTGTGGGCATTTAGTGCTATAAATTTCCCTCTACACACTGCTTTGAATGTGTCCCAGAGATTCTGGTATGTTGTGTCTTTGTTCTTGTTGGTTTCAAAGAACATCCTTATTTCTGCCTTCATTTCATTATGTACCCAGTAGTCATTCAGGAGTAGGTTGTTCAGTTTCCACGTAGTTGAGCGGTTTTGAGTGAGTTTCTTAGTCCTGAGTTGTAGTTTGATTGCACTGTGGTCTGAGAGACAGTTTCTTTACATTTGCTGTAAAGAAATTGTGTTCTTTACATTGTGTTCTTTACATTTGCTGAGGAGTGCTTTACTTCCAACTATGTGGTCAATTTTGGAATAAGTGTGATGTGGCACTGAGAAGAATGTATATTCTGTTGATTTGGGGTGGAGAGTTCTGTAGATGTCTATTAGGTCCGCTTGGTGCAGAGCTGAGTTCAATTCCTGGATATCCTTGTTAACTTTCTGTCTCGTTGATCTGTCTAAGGTTGACAGTGGGGTGTTAAAGTCTCCCATTATTATTGTGTGGGAGTCTAAGTCTCTTTGTAGGTCACTCAGGTCTCGCTTTATGAGTCTGGGTGCTCCTGTATTGGATGCATATATATTTAGGATAGTTAGCTCTTCTTGTTGAATTGATCCCTTTACCATTATGTAATGGCCTTCTTTGTCTCTTTTGATCTTTGTTGGTTTAAAGTCTGCTTTATCAGAGACTAGGATTGTAACCCCTGCCTTTTTTTGTTTTCCATTTGCTTGGTGGATCTTCCTCCATCCCTTTATTTTGAGCCTATGTGTGTCTCTGCACGTGAGATGGGTTTCCTGAATACAGCACACTGATGGGTCTTGACTCTTTATCCAATTTGCCAGTCTGTGTCTTTTAATTGGAGCATTTAGCCCATTTACAATTAAAGTTAATATTGTTATGTGTGAATTTGATCCTGTCATTATGATGTTAGCTGGTTATTTTGCTCATTAGTTGATGCAGTTTCTTCCTAGTCTTGATGCTCTTTACAATTTGGCATGTTTTTGCAGTGGCTGGTACTGGTTGTTCCTTTCCATGTTTAGTGCTTCCTTCAGGAGCTCTTTTAGGGCAGGCCTGGTGGTGACAAAATCTCTGAGCATTTGCTTGTCTGTAAAGTATTTTATTTCTCCTTCACTTATGAAGCTTAATTTGGCTAAATATGAAATTCTGGGTTGAAAATTCTTTTCTCTAAGAATGTTGAATATTGGCCCCCACTCTCTTCTGGCTTGTAGAGTTTCTGCCGAGAGATCCGCTGTTAGTCTGATGGGCTTCCCTTTGTGGGTAACCTGACCTTTCTCTCTGGCTGCCCTTAACATTTTTTCCTTCATTTCAACTTTGGTGAACCTGACAATTATGTGTCTTGGAGTTGCTCTTCTTGAGAAGTATCTTTGTGGCTTTCTCTGTATTTCCTGAATTTGAATGTTGGCCTGCCTTGCTAGGTTGTGGAAGTTCTCCTGGATAATATCCTGCAGAGTGCTTTTCAACTTGGTTCCATTCTCCCCGTCACTTTCAGGCACACCAATCAGACGTAGATTTGGTCTTTTCACATAGTCCCATATTTCTTGGAGGCTTTGTTCATTTCTTTTTATTCTTTTTTCTCTAAACTCCCCTTCTCGCTTCATTCCATTCATTTCATCTTCCATTACTGATACCCTTTCTTCCAGTTGATCGCTTCGGCTCCTGAGGCTTCTGCATTCTTCACGTAGTTCTCGAGCCTTGGCTTTCAGCTCCAACATCTCCTTTAAGCACTTCTCTGCATTGGTTATTCTAGTTATACATTCATCTAATTTTTTTTTCAAAGTTTTTAACTTCTTTGCCATTGGTTTGAATTTCCTCTTGTAGCTCGGAGTAGTTTGATCGTCTGAAGGCTTCTTCTCTCAACTCGTCAAAGTCATTCTCCGTCCAGCTTTGTTCCATTGCTGGTGAGGAACTGCGTTCCTTTGGAGGAGGAGAGGCGCTCTGCTTTTTAAGAGTTTCCAGTTTTTCTGCTCTGTTTTTTCCCCATCTTTGTAGTTTTATCTACTTTTGGTCTTTGATGATGGTGACGTACAGATGGGTTTTTGGTGTGGATGTCCTTTCTGTTTATTAGTTTTCCTTCTAACAGACAGGACCCTCAGCTGCAGGTCTGTTGGAGTTTGCTAGAGGTCCACTCCAGACCCTTTTTGCCTGGGTATCAGCAGCGGTGACTGCAGAACAGCGGTGGCTGTAGAACAGCAGATTTTCATGAACCGCAGTCTGCCCATTCTCAGATCTCCAGCTGCGTGCTGGGAGAACCAATACTCTCTTCAAAGGTGTCAGACAGGGACATTTAAGTCTGCAGAGGTTACTGCTGTCTTTTTGTTTGTCTGTGCCCTGCCCCCAGAGGTGGAGCCCACAGAGGCAGGCAGGCCTCCTTGAGCTGTTGTGGGCTCCACCCAGTTCGAGCTTCCCAGCTGCTTTGTTTACCTAAGCAAGCCTGGGCAATGGCAGGCGCCTCTCTCCTAGCCTCGCTGCCACCTTGCAGTTTGATCTCCAGCTGCTGTGCTAGCAATCAGCGAGACTGTGGGCGTAGGACCCTCCGAGCCATGTGTGGGATATAATCTCCTGGTGTGCAGTTTTTTAAGCCCATTGGAAAAGCGCAGTATTAGGGTGGGAGTGTCCCGATTTTCCAGGTGCCGTCTGTCACCCCTTTCTTTGACTAGGAAGGGGAACTCCGTGACCCCTTGTGCTTCCCAAGTGAGGCAATGCCTCGCCCTGCTTCGGCTCGCACACGGTGCGCTGCACCCACTGACCTGCACCCACTGTCTGGCACTCCCTAGCAAGATGAACCCGGTACCTCAGATGGAAATGCAGCAATCACCCATCTTCTGCATTGCTCACACTGGGAGCTGTAGACCGGAGCTGTTCCTATTTGGCCATCTTGGCTCCACCCTCCTTTTAAGTTATTTTTAATTGCCTGCAGAAGTGCTGTATATAGGGTGGGTGCTGTGACTCACACCCATAATCCCAGCACTTTGGGAGGCTGAGGTGGGCAGATCACCTAAAGTCAAGAGTTGGAGACCAGGCTGGCCAACATGGTGAAACCCTGTCTCTACTAAAAATACAAAATTTACAAAATACAAAAATTACGCAGGTGTGGTGGTGCACGCCTGTTATCCCAGCTACTTAGGAGGCTGAGGCAGGAGAATTGCTTGAGCCCAGGAGGTAGAGGTTGCAGTGAGCCGAGATCATGCCACTGCACTGCAGCGTGGCCACAGAGTGAGACTCCATCTCAAACAAAAAACAAGAAGTGTTTTATATATATTTGTATGTGTGTGTATACACACACACACATATAGTAACACATGCACACACACATATATATTTATGTTGATTTATAATGCTTAGTATGTATTTGTCCAATGGCAACAAACAAATATCCTATTAACATGTAACTTCTAACTGTTGATTTTTCCTGGCTATTAGGTAAAAGTAGATGTCTGGAAATTTAGAGGAGAAAAAGTTGTTGCTTTGGTAATTGAAACCCCAGTGTTCCCTCATTTTTCCCAAATGCAGCATTTGATACATCCTGATTCATGAGGGCTCTGTCATGTATCAGATTCCCCCTTTGCATAGAAAACACCTCTTCAGGAAGGAAAAGGTACAGGCTCCACCCCACTGAATTTCTGTGATTTTAGGAAACTCAGTGTCATGCACATATTAAAATGATCAGCATTCTCGTAAAAGATCTGTAAATTTTACTACCATAAATATTACTAAAAGATTTTGTGTATTTCCCCAAATACTCCTTGAGACCAAATTCCTGGAAGTGCATTTTTTTGTGTGTGCCAAGATGTTTTCGGACGTGTTGCCTGCTCCCCTAGAAAGGTTGTGCCAGTCAATACTCTCATCATTGGTGTTTGTGAGTGACTGCTCCTCTGAAAATGTTTCCTCCATTCCTATCACACAACAATTAATCCAGACTAGTTAGTTTTGAGACAATGGCACAGCTCCCCAGTGAAGCCACACAGTTGGTATTTTATGATGCCTGTAAGTATGCTCATTGAAGCTTTCACAGTGGGAGCAAAGGGGCAATTGATGAAATGGTGCTCTTGTGGTCTCAAAGTGTTCTTCTGTTTTAACAAATTGCCACATTGAATCAGAGAGGCAATTTATTAGATATGCCCTTTGATGAAGGAAGCATCTTGGAGAGGGTCCATAGATAGAAAACACAGGTTTAAAAAACAGTCAATGAATACTGTGGTTCCTTGGTATCCACGGAAGATCGTTTCCAGGACCCCAAGGATACCAAAATCTATAAATGTTCTAGTCCCTTACATAAAATGGTGTAGTATTTGCAAATAATGTACACATATCCTCTCGTATACTTTAAATCATCTCTAGATTATACACAACATCTAATACAATGAAATTGCTGTGTAAATAGTTGTTATACTTTATTGCTTTTATTTGTATTTTTAAAAATGTTATATTATTTTTTATTGTCTTTTCCCAAATATTTTCGATCTGCAGTTGGTTGAATCCCTGCATGTGGAACCCACAAATACAGAGGGCCAACTGTACTGTTGTCTTAAAAAATGTCATGGAATTTGTTTCATGATTAATTTAGAAATTCAGTCAGTATCTAGTGAGCACCACATTGTTCACAACTATGGTTAGAGCTTAGAGTAGAAGGAAGAAGAAAGCACTCATATGTGACTTAGGAGCTCATGGTCTAGTGGGAGAATAAGGTGTGAAGGATGATAGCCTGAGGAAGCTCAGGAACTGGGCAGCAGAATCCACACTGCATATGTGAGGCTTTTTCCTCTACATACAGCATCCTGGTGGAACAATGACCTGTGCGCTTCTGAGAACAGAAAGAAAGGGAAATGTCATTTGCCACAAGTCCCTTGCTATCTGTTTATCTTTCTCACTCTTGACCATCAGTTGGAATGACTGGACATAGTTAGCATTTTTTCCATTTAGAACACAGACACACATCTCATTTTAGCCTAATGTGTCAAGTATTTCTACTGTCAAAAATAAAATCTGATCAAGTTAGAAAATTTTATTGTGTATACAAAAGAGCTGTTTGCCAACTGGGAGACTTTGAAGTGTAGATGGTTAGAAGCTCTCCTTATGGCAGTTACAGCCAGTTTATAAAGCATAAAGGAGGAAGTGTTTTGACCTTTTTTGCAATTGGCTATTATACATTAACATTCTTTGTAAGGCAAGCAGAGCTGTGTAAGCTGATTTGTTTCTAGCTGATTGGTTTCATTTCACTGAATCATTCTGACAAGGGTGTAAAGCTTATGCTTTGTGTTTTGTTTATAATTAGAGCTGGCTTTTCAGGATGACAAATTTTGCCTATGTGGTTATGGGTGGTTGGACTTGGGGTACATTTAAACTGTTGCCTCCATTTTAATTTTTTTAACACTGCAGATCCATGAAACGTCATCAAATACCAGAATGTGCATAATCACAAAATCCCTAATAAGAGCAAAGAATGGAGAGTATTTTTTCTTTATCCAAAAGGCCCTTTTGCCTCTTGCAATGCATATCTTCTCTTTGAAAATCAGCGCCATATTTTTTAGGGGCTTTAGTGCATGATTACTGATTTTGGATTGTCAATAAAAGCTAAATTTAAAGCAAAAGAAACACTTTCTTCAATTCCTGAGTGGTTTAAAATATATGGACTTTAACAGAAACTTTTCACGTGGTTGTCAGTTTTTCAGGGGGTTCATTGCTTTAATATCTTTCACCTGAACACTTCTTGTTCAAATGGCATTCTAATGAGAATGTTTACAATATGGCACTAAAGTGATAAAACAGGACTCAAAATTACAGTTATGCCATGATTATATTTGTGTTAAAATATGTAATCATGTGAACAAAGACTGGAAAGGAATATCCCCCATGTGAAAATATT
This sequence comes from Homo sapiens, assembly GCF_000001405.40. Taxonomy (NCBI): domain Eukaryota; kingdom Metazoa; phylum Chordata; class Mammalia; order Primates; family Hominidae; genus Homo; species Homo sapiens. The sequence continues at coordinate 19,492,168 of NC_000006.12, read as the reverse complement.
TATTATGTTAGGTGCAGAAAGTTGACATGATTTATTTTTCACCTTTAAAACCTCCTTAATATTGCTCTCAAAATGTTTCTTCCATTCTGAAAGTTTCATAATCATGTTAATAATAAACACTTTAGTTGAGAGATGGTCAATGCCATAACTGAGCCTTACAAACTGATTTTGAAATTTCACTGGCCAGTGAAATTATTAATGAAAATATGAGGGGCTGACATTGGGTGGCTAGCTTTTACATTTGCAAGGAAGGGGGGAAGCTGCATCTATCATCTATTATCACCATCATTTTAAGAAGAAAGACCATTTTGACACTGAACAATTATATTTACTAAAGCATCAGAGGTAACCAAGGTGTTAATCATGAACACAGGTCTTCATGATGTGGCTGAGAGTTCCTGGCTTAGGGACTGTGGTTACTAATCATCAACATTCCCTGGACCTGCAGGGCTGGTAAATTCTACCAATGCCTTTTAAGATCAACACTGTCACCCGGGAGGCGGAGCTTGCAGTGAGCCGAGATTGTGCCACTGCACTCCAGCCTGGGCATCAGAGCAAGACTCCGTCTCAAAAAAAAAAAAAAAAAACCAACATTGTCAGTTGCATACACAATGGCTATTTCTTGCCTTTTTACCATCCTAAATAGGATGTCAATGCTATCTGCACCACTGACCAGACTAAGAATAACAAGATCCTAGTGGACTCACAATTTTAAAATATTAACATAATTTAATAATCTCTATGTATTTTAGCTTCCTCAACTATGAATTATTTGGCCTCCCAGTTTTTTTTTTTCCAACTCACAGCATCTCTTTAGCTATGTTTTGAATAGATAATATCACAGGGCCGTTCAAAATAGACAGATGTTCGACAGCATGACTGGAAGATACACTGGGGATATTATTAAATAAAATAAATGTTTCTATTCATTTGTTTGGGGTATAAAAGAATATTGACTTTTTAGAAGAATAAATGTGAAAGACTCCCATTATGATTTTTTGCTTGGTAGACAACAATGTGTGATTTAAAACTGATAGCTGACTTCAGTACAGATTCTGTCTGATGATGAGGCCCCATCAAATCACTTCACCTTGCTGAATGTCTTTTTCTCTTCTTTAAAAATGTAGAAATCAGACCATTTCCCAATTCCTTTTCAGAACCAAAGCAAACACAATAAGCAACATTCTGCCTTTGGTTTTAAAGCCATTTGAAGCCATGACGTTTGTGGCAAGACCAGCAATTTGCCCAGTGAAAGATCCCAGACTCTCCTTCAGATCCTCTAGCTTCAATGCTTGCAGCCAAAACCAGCACAGATATGCATAATTTCAGCCCTGTCCTCCTGAGGACAGAAGGTTTCTCACATCAGCAAAGCCAGTGGTTCCCAGACTTCAGTACGCACCAAATCTCTGTGAGACTTTTCAAAACATAGATTGCTGGGTTCCACCTCCAGAGTGTCTGATTCCATAGGTCTGGGGTGGGGCCTGAGAATTTACATGTATAAGTCCTTAGGTGATTCTGATGCTGCTGATGCAGGGACCACACTTCTGATCGCAGAAACCTTAATGGTAAACCTCCGGTTCTTCTTCATTGATTGGTTGCTGCTGCCTCTCACAACTCCTGTATAAATATGTGAGGTGGCAAGGTCTGAGGATACAGGGAAAAAACGAAACTCAGTTTCTCCTATACCCTTACTAAAATAATCAACACAGAAGACTTCCATGACCAAATGTGTGGGGATTTTCACCCTCTATATCAAGTAAGCAATCAATTCTGCAGTAGTCACCAGCGGGGTGTCCTCCAGTTCAATTCCAATAGAGATAGCATTCAGACCCCACAGGTTGAGCTACAGTCTCACAAGACTAATCCTCACTTCTGCTGCCCATTTAAAGCTTTAGGTTGTTTCACCTGTTTTTCTGACTGACCAGGTATAAATTGGGATTCCCATAATGCCTCCCAGGGTTTGATTAATTTGTTAGAGTGGCTCCTAGACCTCAGGTGAATACTTACTTACATTTACTGGTTTATTGCAGAGGATATTACAAAGGATACAGATGAAGAGATGCATAGGGTGAGGTATATGGGAAGGGATGAAGAGCTTCCATGTCCTCCCCAGGCTTCCTGCTCCAGGAACCTCCATGTGTTCAGCTATCTGGAAGCTCTCTGAATAGTCCTTTTGTGTTTTTATGGAAGCTTCATTATGTAGGCATGATTGATTAAACCATTGGTGATCAAACCATTGGTGATCACCCCAGAAATTGGGGAGTGGGGCTGAAAGTCCCAACCCTCAAATCCTGTCTTGGTCTTTCCAGTGAAAAGCCACCATCCTAAAGATACCTAGGGCCAGCCACTGGTCAACTCACTAGTATACAAAAAGCCACTTGTCGCTTTGAAGATTACAAGGATTTTAGGAATCGTGGGCCAAGAAATGAAGATCAAATATCTGTTTTTCTATATCACACAAGGGTTTAGGGTTGCTCTAGAGGAGCACAAAGCATGGTGTATGCAGCCATACCTGGCCCAGGGCTGCTGTACGTGGGATGGCAAGAGCCTGGCCCAGTGTGTATCGTGAAAACCCTTTGCCCATATGTTTCCTGGAGCCTGCATCATGTATAAATTTTTGTGTTTGCCCTTGCCTTTCACTCAATGAATTTTCAAATAATTCTTAAAGACACATTTTTTTTAAAACATACAGAGTAAAAAGATAGACATGCAAACTACTTTCAATTATTCCACAAATAGTGAGTGAGAAAAATATTACATGTTAATGTATTTTCTTGCATTTTTAAAAATTATGCTACGTGTATAATTTGTAGTCCTGGCTCTTTATTTTCCACTTCACATTATTATAACATGATCATTATCCAACTTATTTGAAATCATGTTAAGTGGTTTAACACACATACATACATAATTTTTCTCCTAATTATGAGTAGGTCAGATATGATTATGATTTAGCTATGTCCCCCATGATTGAGTACTTCATTTATTTCTTATTTTTCACAATTTTAAATGGCCAAATGTCATACATCTTTACCCTTAACTCGTTACTTTCTTAGGTTATATTCTCAGAAGCAAAGTTAATGGCCCAACTTGTGAGCATTTTGAAGGTTCGTAACTATTGCTGAATTGCTTTCCAGAAGGTCTAGACCAATCTATCCTTCAAGCGCAATGCAAGGGCAGTCTCTCAACTCGTGCCACCAGTGAGTCCTCTCAGAAATCTTTGCCAGTGTTATAGTGGAAATTTGCATGTCATTATTGCTTTAATTTATATTTCTTTGATTATCCTAATACATATACCTTATTTATTAGACATGTATTTCTATTACTGTCATTGTCAGTTTCTATCCATGTGTTTAAAAAATTTTAAATTTGTATATGCCTTCTGAGGAAAAAATGAAATTATCATTAAACAAAGATGGAAAAAAGTATTCATAACTGGAACAACAAAAAAATTAACCACCATTCACATTCTGCCAGATGTTTTTATTTGCATGTGTATATACATTTATCTATGTTCACGTATGTATTTTGCTTACAAACATAAGGAACATTTATAGAAGTTGTCTGCAAAAAGGATGTCACAGTAGACGTAAACCTTATAACCCATCTAAATTAAAAATATATCAGGCTGGGCACGGTGGCTCACACCTGCAATCTCAGCACTTTGGGAGGCCAAGGTGGGTGGATCATGAGGACAGGAGATAGAGATCATCCTGGCCAACATGTGAAACCCCGTCTCTACTAAAAATACAAAAATTAGCTGGACTTGGTGGCACGTGCTTGTAGTCCCAGTTATTCGGCAGGCTGAGGCAGGAGAATCTCTTGAACCCGGGAGATGGAGGTTGCAGTGAGCCGAGATCGCACCACTGCAGTCCAGCCTGGCTGCAGAGGGAGACTCCATGTCAAAAAAAAAAAAATATATATATATATATATAAATAAATATATATATATAAATAAATATATATATAATTTTAATTTCAAAAAATCTTAAAACATCACTGAAATTTACTGAATAGAATTTGAGTATATGCATGCAATATTCAACTCATTCTCCACTTAAATAAGTTCTTGTAAGAAGCATATTATTCATTATTAGGAAAAAATTTCTAGAAATGGAATTTCTGAGTCAAATTCTTCAGCGCACCCACACACACACACACACACACACACACACACACACACACATTTTCCCCAATTATAAATGAAATATAAATTTCTAAAAATCTAAATGTTTCAGAAATAGACATGCTACTATGTATTATTCTGTTTTAAATTTATTCTTTTTTATTCTTATACTTTAACTTCTAGGGTACATGTGCACAACATGCAGGTTTGTTACATATGTATACATGTAGCATGTTGGTGTGCTGCACCCATTAACTCGTCATTTACATTAGGTATATCTCCTAATGCTATCCTTCTCCCCTCCCCCAACCCCACGACAGGCCCCAGTGTGTGGTGTTCCCCACCCTGTGTCCATGTGTTCTCATTGTTCAATGCCCACCTGTGAGTAAGAACATGCGGTGTTTGATTTTCAGTCCTTGTGAGAGTTTGCTGAGAATGATGGTTTCCAGTTTCATCCATTTCCCTACAAAGGACATGAACTCATCCTTTTTTATGGATCATAGTATTCCATGGTGTATATGTGCCACATTTTCGTAATCCAGTCTATCATTGATGGACATTTGGGTTGGTTCCAAGTCTTTGCTATTGTGAATAGTGCCACAATAAACATACGTGTGCATGTGTCTTTATAGCAGCATGATTTATAATGCTTTGGGTATATACCCAGTAATGGGATGGCTGGGTCAAATGGTATTTGTAGTTCTAGATCCTTGAGGAATCGCCACACTGACTTCCACGATGGTTGAACTAGTTTACAGTCCCACCAACAGTGTAAAAGTGTTCCTGTTTCTCCACATCCTCTCCAGCACCTGTTCTTTCCTGACTTTTTAATGATCGCCATTCTAACTGGTGTGAGATGGTATCTCCTTGTGGTTTTGATTTGCATTTCTCTGATGGCCAGTGATGATGAGCATTTTTTCATGTGTCTGTTGGCTGCATAAATGTCTTCTTTCGAGAAGTGTCTGTTCATATCCTTCACCCACTTTTTGATGAGGTTGTTTGATTTTTTCTTGTAAATTTGTTTAAGTTCTTTGTAGATTCTAGATATTAGCACTTTGTCAGATGAGTAGATTGCAAAAATTTTCTCCCATTTTGTAGGTTGCCTGTTCACTCTGTTGGTAGTTTCTTTTGCTGTGCAGAAGCTCTTTAGTTTAATTAGATTCCATTTCTCAATTTTGACGTTTGTTGCCATTGCTTTTGGTGTTTTAGACATGAAGTCCTTGCCCATGCCTGTGTCCTGAATGGTATTGCCTAGGTTTTCTTCTAGGGTTTTTATGGTTTTAGGTCTGACATTTAAGTCTTTAATCCATCTTGAATTAATTTTTGTATAAGGTGTAAGGAAGGGGTCCAGTTTCAGTTTTCTACATATGGCTAGCCAGTTTTCCCAGCACCATTTATTAAACAGGGAATCCTTTCCCCATTGCTTGTTTTTGTCAGGTTTGTCAAAGATCAGATGGTTGTAGATGTGTGGTATTATTTCTCAGGGTTCTGTTCTGTTTCATTTTTCTATGTCTCCATTTTGGTACCAGTACCATGCTGTTTTGGTTACTGTAGCCTTGTAGTATAGGTTGAAGTCAGGTAGTGTGATGCTTCCAGCTTTGTTCTTTTGGCTTAGGATTGTCTTGGCAACGTGGGATCTTTTTTGGTTCCATATGAATTTTAAAGTAGTTTTTTCCAATCCTGTGAAGAAAGTCATTGGTAGCTTGATGGGGATGTCATTGAATCTATAAATTACCTTGGGCAGTATGGCCATTTTCACGATATTGATTCTTCCTATCCATGAGCATGGCATGTTCTTCCATTTGTTTGTGTCTTCTTTTATTTCATTGAGCAATGGGTTGCAGTTCTCCTTGAAGAGGTCCTTCACATCCCTTGTAAGTTGGATTCCTAGGTATTTTATTCTCTTTGAAGCAACTGTGAATGGGAGTTCACTCATGATTTGGCTCTCTGTTTGTCTGTTATTGGTGTATAAGAATGCTTGTGATTTTTGCACATTGATTTTGTATCCTGAGACTTTGCTGAAGTTGCTTATCAGCTTAAGGAGATTTTGGGCTAAGACGATGGGGTTTTCTAAATATACAATCATGTCGTCTGCAAACAGGGAGAATTTGACTTCCTCTTTTCCTAATTGAATACCCTTTATTTCTTTCTCCTGCCTGATTGCCCTGGCCAGAACTTCCAACACTATGTTGAATAGGAGTGGTGAGAGAGGGCATCCCTGTCTTGTGCCAGTTTTCAAAGGGAATGCTTCCAGTTTTTGCCCATTCAGTATGATATTGGCTGTGGGTTTGTCATACATAGCTCTTATTATTTTGAGATACATCCCATCAATACCTAATTTATTGAGAGTTTTTAGCATGAAGGGTTGTTGAATTTTGTCAAAGGCCTTTTCTGCATCTATGGAGATGATAATGTTCTTTTTGTCTTTGCTTCTGTTTATATGATGGATTATGTTTATTGATTTGCATATGTTGAACCAGCCTTGCATCCCAGGGATGAAGCCCACTTGATCATGGTGGATAAGCTTTTTGATGTGCTGCTGGATTCGGTTTGCCAGTATTTTATTGAGGATTTTTGCATCAATGTTCATCAGGGATATTGGTCTAAAATTCTCTTTTTTTGTTGTGTCTCTGCCAGGCTTTGGTATCAGGATGATGCTGGCCTCATAAAATGAGTTAGGGAGGATTCCCTCTTTTTCTATTGATTGGAATAGTTTCAGAAGGAATGGTACCAGCTCCTCCTTGTACCTCTGGTAGAATTTGGCTGTGAATCCATCTGGTCCTGGACTTTTTTTTGGTTGGTAAGCTCTTAATTATTGACTCAATTTCAGAGCCTGTTATTGTTCTATTCAGGGATTCAACTTCTTCCTGGTTTAGTCTTGGGAGGGTGTATGTGTCCAGGAATTTATCCATTTCTTCTAGATTTTGTAGTTTATTTGCATAGAGGTGCTTATAGTATTCTTTGATGGTAGTTTGTGTCTCTGTGGGATTGGTGGTGATATCCCCTTTATCATTTTTTATTGCATCTATTTGATTCTTCTCTCTTTTCTTCTTTATTACTCTTGCTAGCAGTCTATCAATTTTGTTAATGTTTTCAAAAAACAAGCTCCTGGATTCATTAATTTTTTGAAGGGTTTTTTGTGTCTCTATTTCCTTCAGTTCTGCTCTGATCTTAGTTATTTCTTGTCTTCTGCTAGCTTTTGAATGTGTTTGCTCTTGCTTCTCTAGTTCTTTTAATTGTGATGTTAGGGTGTCAATTTTGGATCTTTCCTGCTTTCTCTTGTGGGCATTTAGTGCTATAAATTTCCCTCTACACACTGCTTTGAATGTGTCCCAGAGATTCTGGTATGTTGTGTCTTTGTTCTTGTTGGTTTCAAAGAACATCCTTATTTCTGCCTTCATTTTGTTATGTACCCAGTAGTCATTCAGGAGCAGGTTGTTCAGTTTCCATGTAGTTGAGCGGTTTTGAGTGAGTTTCTTAATCCTGAGTTCTAATTTGATTGCACTGTGGTCTGAGAGACAGTTTGTTATAATTTCTGTTCTTTTACATTTGCTGAGGAGTGCTTTACTTCCGACTATGTGGTCAATTTTGGAATAAGTGTGATGTGGCACTGAGAAGAATGTATATTCTGTTGATTTGGGGTGGAGAGTTCTGCAGATGTCTATTAGGTCTGCTTGGTGCAGAGCTGAGGTCATTTCCTGGATATCCTTGTTAACTTTCTGTCTTGTGGATCTGTCTAATGTTGACAATGGGGTGTTAAAGTCTCCTATTATTATTGTGCGGGAGTCTAAGTCTCTTTTTAGGTCTCTCAGGACTTGCTTTATGAATCTGGGTGCTCCTGTATTGGGTGCATATATATTTAGGATAGTTAGCTCTTCTTGTTGAATTGATCCCTTTACCATTATGTAATGGCCTTCTTTGTCTCTTCTGATCTTGTTTGGTTTAAAGTCTGTTTTATCAGAGACTAGGATTGCAACCCCTGCTTTTGTTTGTTTTCCATTTGCTTGGTAGATCTTCCTCCATTCCTTTATTTTGAGCCTATGTGTGTGTCTGCACGTGAGATGGGTTTCCTGAATACAGCACACTGATGGGTTTTCACTCTTTACCCAATTTGCCAGTCTGTGTCTTTTAATCGGAGCATTTAGCCCATTTACATTTAAGGTTAATATTGTTATTTTTGAATTTGATCCTGTCATTATGATGTTAGCTGGTTATTTTGCTCATTAGTTGATGCAGTTTCTTCCTAGCATCAGTGGTCTTTACAATTTGACATGTTTTTGCAGTGGCTGGTACTGGTTGTTCCTTTCCATGTTTAGTGCTTCCTTCAGGAGCTCTTTTAGGGCAGGCCTGGTGGTGACAAAATCTCTGAGCATTTGCTTGTCTGTAAAGTATTTTATTTCTCCTTCACTTATGAAGCTTAGTTTGGCTGGATATGAAATTCTGGTTTGAAAATTCTTTTCTCTAAGAATGTTGAATATTGGCCCCCACTCTGTTCTGGCTTGTAGAGTTTCTGCTGAGAGATCTCCTGTTAGTCTGATGGGCTTCCCTTTGTGGGTAACCTGACCTTTCTCTCTGGCTGCCCTTAACATTTTTTCCTTCATTTCAACTTTGGTGAATCTGACAATTATGTGTCTTGGAGTTGCTCTTCTCGAAGAGTATCTCTGTGGCTTTCTCTGTATTTCCTGAATTTGAATGTTGGCCTGCCTTGCTAGGTTGGGGAAGTTCTTCTGGATAGTATCCTGCAGAGTGCTTTTCAGCTTGGTTCCATTCTCCCCGTCACTTTCAGGTACACCAATCAGATGTAGATTTGGTCTTTTCACATAGTCCCATATTTCTTGGAGGCTTTGATCATTTCTTTTTATTCTTTTTTCTCTAAATTTCTCTTCTCACTTCATTTCATTCATTTCATCTTCCATCACTGATACCCTTTCTTTCAGTTGATCACATCGGCCACTGCGGCTTGTGCATTCTTCACGTAGTTCTCGTGCAATAGTTTTCACCTCCATCAGGTCCTTTAAGGACTTCTCTGCATTGGTTATTCTAGTTAGCCATTCGTCTAATTTTTTTTCAAGGTTTTTAACTTCTTTGCAATGGGTTTGAACTTCCTCCTTTAGCTCAGAGAAGTTTGATCATCTGAAGCCTTCTTCTCTCAACTCGTCAAAGTCATTCTCTGTCCAGCTTTGTTCCATTGCTGATGAGGAGGTGCGTTCCTTTGGAGGAGAAGAGGCGCTCTGATTTCTAGAATTTTCAGGTTTTCTTCTCTGGTTTCTCCCCATCTTTGTGGTTTTATCTACCTTTGGTCTTTGATAATGGTGACATACAGATGGGTTTTTGGTGTGGATGTCCTTTCTGTTTGTTAGTTTTCCTTCTAACAGTCAGGACCCTCAGGTGCATGTCTGTTGGAGTTTGCTGGAGGTCCACTCCAGGCCCTGTTTGCCTGGGTATCACCAGCGGAAGCTGCAGAACTGCAAATATTGCAGAGTGGCAAATGTTGCTGTCTGATTGTTGCTCTGGAAGCTTCAACTCAGAGGGGCACCTGACCATATGAGATGTCAGTCGGCCCCTACTGGGAGGTGTCTCCCAGTTAGGCTACTCAGGGGTCAGGGACCCACTTGAGGAGGCAGTCTGTCTGTTCTGAGATCTCAAACTCCATGCTGGGAGAACCACTACTCTCTTCAAAGCTGTCAGACAGGAACATTTAAGTCTGCAGAAATTTCTGCTGCCTTTTGTTCAGCTATGCCCTGCCCCCAGAGGTGGAGTCTACAGAGGCAGGTAGGCCTCCTTGAGCTGCAGTGGGCTCCATGCAGTTCGAGCTTCCTGGCCATTTTGTTTACCTACTCAAGCCTCAGCAATTGCGGGCACCCCTCCCCCAGCCTCACTGCGGCCTTGCAGTTTGATCCCAGACTGCTGTGCTAGCAGTGAGCAAGCCTCCGTGGGCATGGGACCCTCCAAGCCAGGCACGGGATATAATCTGGTATGCCGTTTGCTAAGACCATTGGAAAAGCGCAGTATTAGGGTGGGAGTGACCCAATTTTCCAGGTGCCGTCTGTCACGGCTTCCCTTGGCTAGGAAAGGGAATTCCCCTACCCCTTGCACTTCCTGGGTGAGGCGACTCCTCGTCCTGCTTTGGCTCATGGTCTGTGGGCTGCACCGACTGTCCTGCACCCACTGTCTGACAAGCCCCAGTGAGATGAACTTGGAACCTCAGTTGGAAATGCAGAAATCACCCATCTTCTGCATCACTCATGCTGGGAGCTGTAGACTGGAGCTGTTCCTATTCGACCATCTTGAAACCTCCCCCTATTATTCTTAATATTAAAATTTAAAAATTAGACTACCTTTAGGATACTGTTTTGCAATTTACTTTTTATTTTTCAATTTGCCATTATATATTGAACAATGTTTCCATCAATATACTCAGATGTGTTAGTTTCATAATCCCTGCCTACTATTACATTTTACGGATGAACTAGAGTTTCATTTAACACTTCCTTTACTGATTGATAGATGTTGGGATTGTTATCAGATTCTCTCCATTATGTACCCTTGCACATTTGCGAGACTATTTTCTTTTAGAAAAAACTAATGTAAGTGGAAATGTTCAATAGATGTAAACATTTGAAGTACTAAAATATATTTCTAAATTTTCATTTTTGAAGTTTTTTTTAATGTTATACTCTGATGAATAGAGTATTCGAATGCCCATTTTCACCTGTAATGATGAACATTTAAAAGCTTTTGGAAGATGTTAAATGACTATTCAAAAAGTTTGAACCAACTTAGTTTCCATCTATCAACAAAAAGCAAGAAAAATATAGCAGGGAAAAAGGAAGGAAGGAAGAAGGAAGAAAGGAGGAAAAATAAGGGAAAAAGAAAATAATCACTTGCTATTCTGTTATCCAAAAATTGTATTTTGCTTTTATTTATGATTTTTATTACTGGCAAAACTGACTATTTCATTTTATATGTAGCATCTGCACAGAAAAGTAATATGGGAACTACACTGTACTTTTTTTTACTCCTCAGTAACCAGTCCATTAATGCCCTTTCCTTATTTTCCTACTGAAGTACTAGTGTCATAGTAACAGATTTATAGGAGCTTCCTGAAACTCAGTGTCTTTAAATCACTAGCATTGATCCCCTTGGTAGGCTTCTAACATGGAAAATATATATATACATTTTATTACACAAACATTAGAGTAGGTATTTACTCATAAATTATTTCTAAAATAGCTGATTCAGATAAACTTTTAGCCAAACCTTTTGCTACATCTTTAAGCCAAGTGCTCGCAGTAAATAGTAGCTTCAGAGGTTGTCTGAACCTTCAGGGACAGAGGGTATCGAGACATAGGCTGCAATCACCAAACATGGGGTACTAGCCCTTTTAAAAACGAAGACATTGAGATGACTGGGAGCAATGTAGGGTGTTATTCAAATTAGTTTATTTTGGTTGCTTTCTCTCTCAGATCCATTTTTTTTTGCCAGTATATACTGACTGCCTTTCATTCGACAAGAACCATGCTGGTCACTTATCTGCTGTGGAAATGTGAAAACATCAAAGTATTTGTTCCTGAGCCATACTAGGGATAAATAAAGTAATGACACTAATAAATAAAATGCTGCTTAGGGTTCAGATCTGCTGTGGTAAGGCACATGGAACCGTGGGCCCAGCCATCTGATACTCACTTATTTTGGTGTTTTGTTTTCTACATATTTCAAGAAACAGAAAAATGCATTATATTAATACATTCATGTCCTCCACAGTTCTGAAGGGCCACAGTGGTGTCATAAAATTAAGTATTCCTTTAAAAGAATAGTAAAATAACATCTGGCTAATAGACATGGTTGGCTTCAGCCTTCCACTGTTTGTAAATAGTGTATGATCTTTGCGATATGAGATAAATTCATTTTTAAAATATTAACTTCAGAAGGAAATTGTCACATGTGTTCCTTTGTTCTCATTATGTTAACGTTTATGGAGAATTTGGCCCCGTATTCACGTGGAAAATAAATAAAAAGAAATACAGATTAACTATTAAATGAGATTAAGCCTTCTGAATTGTGAGCTTCTCATATTTTTCCTTTGATTTTTATTTGTTTGAGTTTTGTTTAATTTTTAGTGGAGGTTGTTGTTTATTTTAGAAAAAAACAGCTATTGTTTCCCATTCTTTAAAATTTCAAAAGGCCAATAGCAAATTATAGTTTATCAGATGAAATAACATGGGGATATTTGACAAAAATCAGTGGATCTGATGACCTTTGATGAAGCCTGCAACTCTGAGATAATATAGAAAAAAATGTCTCTGGGAATAAACTCAGTAGACTGGAATTCAGAGAAATAGTGCTTAGTATTTAAGCAGATATACTTCTTTTTTTTTTTTCTTAAAGGATGTTGACAATATAGAAAGTATTTGCAAAAACAGGTACTTTTTAGGGTGAAATGATAAATTAAGGGTTTCAGAAATTCATCATCCTACATTTTCCCTGGAATCAACAGACAGAAATGGTCTATTTTCTTTCATTAAAATTGATTTGATTTTAATTTTGACAGTCATTGGATGTTATCTATCATCTATACTTTTGACAGTGAAGCAAGATAATGAGTCCTCTGAATAGGAGTTTTCTATGATTGGGGTAGTTGTCATTACTAGAAGGTTTTGTGTGAATAATAGATGCCAAACCTGGCTTGACTCCTCATTTCCAGTCCTTTTTACTTCTTTTGTATCAAATTGTTAATAACTAGCTTCATCTTTTGTCACCAAAAAAGAATGGCTTTTTTGTTTGCCCACAGAACTGTATTACTCAGTGCTGAGCAATGAGTTATCACAAGATGATAATCCAACCCTCTGGAAACAGGTCTGTGAATCCACAGGCACTTCCACAAATAACAGACTGCAGGCTTTTGAGCAGACACTTTTATACCCCTTTTGAAAGCTGTTTATTAAATCTGGAAAGAAACTGCTTGACTGAAAGAGAAAGCTACACCAAATAGGACTACTTCCCTGACTATAGAAACATTTTCTTCTTCCTCAGGGGGAAAAGTCCATAAGAAATTTGAGTAACTTTAATGCATTTTAGACAATCTATGCATATATGTGTTGTTTCCCCACCCCCAAGTCTTCTTTAGTATTAATAAAAGGATTTAAGGAGCAATGGTCTAGGATGTTTTTAAAAAACAGAACTAATTAATGACAGATACTTTGTATTCCAGTTCAATGTTCCCATAAGGAAATTACTTACAAGAAAAATCACATTTACTGGAGAATCATTTTTCAAGTTTTCTTCGTCACTTGGAGTGTCTACAGTATGTACCTGTATCAGTCAGGGAACCACTGTGAGCCACGGGACCAGGGGTTTATTACAGGAATGAGAGCTTTTCCAGTGTAGAAGGAGCTGGGGGAGTGGGGGAAGGCAGGAGTGGGGGCATCAGAAGAGTCAGTGGTCAGGAAGTCTGAGGTGGATGGGAAGGGGAGGCCATGCAGGGCCTTGGGGAGCGTGCCTCTGTGTGGCAGCTGCTTCTGTGAGTTTGCTGCCAAACATTTGCTGGCGGGCCCCAGGCTGCCGTTGGTCAACAGTGTCCACTGGGACAGAGGAACTGGACACAGAATAGAGAAGAGTGAAGATGAGCTGGGAACACCAGCATCTACTTCTCACCACTTCATTCAGAGTGTACTGGCCGCTGCCTCACTTCTGCTCCATATCCTCTTTGGAGTCTACTTGAAACTAGAATTATACAGGGAAGGGGATTCAAGTCTATGTGGTGTTATCTTCCTCAAGTTGACCCACCACAAACTCCAGCAGAACTTAACTGAGACAACGGAGACATCCTATAGAAAAGGGTTATTTCTACTCTGTATTAGTAACTCCTCCCTGCAAAAAATGCCTTGGAAAGATTTGTCTTGGGAAGAAATAATGGTAAGTAAGGTTTTAGATATTTTCAACAGTCTTTAAATAGCTTCTTAACAGAAACCGTGTAGCTCACAATATTATACATATTTACTTTTTTGACAAATGGTACTCAAAGTATTAAAGGAGCCACGGGAAGATCTTCCACTTCAACCTCTAAAGGTTCTCAATTGACAAAAGGCATATTAATAGGAGCAAAGGCATAGAAATTTACTTGGTCATAGTTTTACATGCCATGAGTGCCTTCAAAATGAATACCCAAAGGTACAGAGGAAACTGTCCATTTATATGCTTAGGTTCAATAAAGTATGAACTGCCATGTAGAACTGTGATTGGACAACAAGGGTGTCATCTAATACCAATAGACTGAGTGGGAAAATGCAGCAAGTCCTGTCTGTCTAGATTCTTCTTGGCCTCTCTAAGCAGCATTCCTTCCTTCTGGGTATGGGGCATAACCCTCTCTAGAATGAGAGTCTTATGACCTACAGTCAAATAAGGTAAGTCAGATTAATTTATTTACCGTCAGTTTTTACACAGAAAGATAAAGGAAAAGTTAGAACAACATTTTTAGGTTATGTGGCCGGCTTTGGGAAAAAGGGGTTCTAGATTCTATGACCTGACTTGGGGAAGAGGGATTCTAGTTTCTATTGCTAGCCTCAGGGGAGAATGAGAGGTCAGAGACAGGAGGGCAGGAGGTCAGAGAGAGCTGCTTCTGCAGCCTTCATTTTGGGGCATTGCTCTCCAAGGCCATCCAGTATCAAAAACTGTAGTGAAGTAAATACTTTAGCACAGCGGTCCCCAGCCCCTGGTCCACAGACCAGTACCAGTTTTGTAGCCTGTTAGGAACCAGGCTGCATAGCAGGAGGTGAGTGGCAGGCAAGTGAGCAAAACTTCATCTGTATTTACAGTCACTCCCCATCACTCTCATTACTGCCTGAGCTCCACCTTCTGTCAGATCAGCAGTGGCATTAGATTCTCATAGGAGCATAAACCTTATTTTGAACTGTGCACAGGAGGGATCGATGTTGTGCACTCCTTATGAGAATCTAATGCCTGATGATCTGTCACTGTCTCCCATCACCCCCAGATGAGACTTTCTAGTTGCAGCAACACAAGCTCAGGGATCCCAAGGTTTCTACATTATGGTGAGTTGTATAATTATTTCATTATATTTTACAATGTAATAATAATAGAACTAAAGTGCAAAATAAATGTAATGCACTTGGATCATCCTGAAACCATTCCTCCTCTATACCCCCTCTGATAGGTTTGGCTGTGTCCTCACTCAAATCTCAACTTGAATTGTATCTCCCAGAATTCCCACATGTTGTGAAAGGACCCAGGGGGAGGTAATTGAATCATGGGGGCCAGTTTTTCCCATGCTATTCTTGTGATAGTGAGTAAGTCTCACGAGATCTGATGGGTTTATCAGGGGTTTCTGCTTTTGCATTTTCCTCACTTTTTCTCTTGCTGCTGCCATGTAAGAAGTGCCTTTCAACTCCTGCTATGATTCTGAGGTCTTCCCAGCCACGTGGAACTGTAAGTCCAATTAAACCCCTTTCTCTCTCTCTCTCTCTCTTTTTTTTTTTTTTTTTTTTTTAAGATGGAGTCTTGCTCTGTCACCCAGGCTGGAGTGCAGTGGTGCAATCCTGGCTCACTGCAAGCTCCGCCTCCCAGGTTCACACCATTCTCCTGCCTCAGCCTCCTGAGTAGCTGAGACTACAGGCACCAGGCCTGGCTAATTTTTTGTATTTTTTAGTAGAGATGGGGTTTCACTGTGTTATCCAGGATGGTCTCGATCTCCTGACCTCATGATTCGCCCACCCCGACCTCCCAAAGTGCTGAAATTACGGACGTGAGCCACCGTGCCCAGCCAATTAAACCTTTTTTTCTTCCCAGTTTTGGGTATATCTTTATCAGTAGTGTGAAAATGGACAAATACAGTAAATTGGTACTAATACAGTGGGGTGTTGCTGAAAAGATACCTGAAAATGTGGAAGTAGCTTTGGAACTGGGTATCAAGCAGAGGTTGGTACAGTTTGAAGGGCTCAGAAGAAGACAGGAAAATGTGGGAGAGCTTGAAACTTCCTAGAGACTTGTTGAATGGCTTTGACAAAAATGCTGATAGTGATACTAAGAATAAGGTCCAGGCTGAGGTGGTCCCAGATGGAGATGAGGAATTGGTTGGGAACTGGAGCAACGGTGATTCTTGTTATGTTTTAGCAAAGAGACTGGCTGCATTTTGCCCCTTCCCTAGAGATTTGTGGAACTTTGAACTTGAGAGAGATGATTTAGGGTATCTGGTGGAAGAAATTTCTAAGCAGCAAAGCATTCAAAAGGTGACTTGGGCGCTGTTAAAAGCATTCCATTTTAAAAGGGAAACAGAACATAAAAGTTCAGAAAATTTGCAGTCTGACAATTCAGTAGAAAAGAAAAACCCATTTTTTTGAGGAGAAATTTAAGCTGGCTGCAGAAATTTGCATAAGTAACAAGGATCCTAATGTTAATCCTCAAGACAATGGGGAAAATGTCTCCAGGGCATGTCATAGGTCTCATGGCAGCCTCTCCCATCACAGACCTGGAAGTCTAGGAGGAAAAAATGGTTTCATGGGCTGGGCCCAGGGTCCTCATGCTGTGCGCAGCCTAGGGACTTGGTGCCCTGCATCCCAGCTACTCTAGCCATTGCTAAAAGGGGCCAAGGAACAGCTTGGCCCATGGTTTCAGAGGGTGCAAGCCTCAAATCTTGGCAACTTCCACATGGTATTGAGCCTTCAGGTATGCAGAAATCAAGAATTGAGGTTTGGGAACTTCCACCTAGATTTCAGAAGATGTATGGAAACACCAGGATGCCCAGGCAAAAGTGTGCTGCAGGGGCTGGGCCCTCATGGAGAACCTCTGCTAGGGCAGTGCAGAAGGGAAATGTGGGTCCACAGCCCCCACACAGAGTCCCTAATGGGACAGCACCTAATGGAAGCCATGAGAAGAGGGCCACCGTCCTACAGACCCCAGAATGGGAGATCCACTGATGGCTTGCACAGTGCACCTGGAAAAGCCACAGACACTCAATGCCAGCCCGTGGAAGAAACCGGGAGGGAGGCTGTACCCTGCAAAGCCACAGAGGTGGAGCCGCTCAAGACCATGGGAACCCACCTTCTTGCATCGGCGTGACCTGGATGTGAGACCTGGAGTCAAAGGAGATCATTTTGGAGCATTACAATTTGACTGCCCTGCTGGATTTGGGACTTGCATGGGCCCTTTAACCCCTTCGTTTTGGCCAATTTCTCCCATTTGGAGTGGCTGTATTTAGCCAATACCTGGACCCTCACTGTGTTTAGGAAGTAACTAACTTGCTTTTGATTTTACAGGCTCATAGGCAAAAGGGACTTGGCTTGTCTCAGATGAGACTTTGGACTGTGGACTTTTGGGTTCATGCTGAAATGAGTTAAGACTTTGGGGGACTGTTGGGAAGGCATGATTGGTTTTGAAATGTGAGGACATGAGATCTGGAGGGGCCAGAGGCATAATGATATGATTTGGCTGTGTCTCCACCAAAATCTCAATTTGAATTATATCTCCCAGAATTCCCATGTGTTGTGGGAGGACCCGGGGGAGGTAATTGAATCATGGGGGCCAGTTTTTCCCATGCTATTCTCATGATAGTGAATTAGTCTCACGAGATCTGATGGTTTTATCAGGAGTTTCTGCTTTTGCATCTTCCTCATTTTTTTTTCTCATGTCATGTAAGAAGTGCCTTTCACCTCCTGCCATGATTCTGAGGCCTCCTCAGTCATGTGGAACTGTAAGTCCAATTAATAAACCTCTTTTTCTTCCCAGTTTCAGTTATCTCTTTATCAGCAGTGTGAAAATAGGCTAACACACCCATCCACCCTGGTTCATAGAATTGTCTTTCACAAAACCAATCTCTGTGCCAAAAAGGTTGAGGACTGCTGCTTTAGGGTCAAATTTCATGTGAATGGTTCTGAGAAGCCTGTATTATATATCCAGGAACATGTCTTCCTGCTTAGGATTAGTTTCCTACCATGACCTATCATACGAAGAAACATGATTTCTCACGGGTGGGCATGTCTCGTTCATACTACCATTTTCACGAGCCACCAGTTTTTGAATGATGAGTGAAGAAGATATTTAGGCAATCTGTGAACTCGAAACTTTTTCTAAGTCCTAACTTATTGAATAAGAAAACAAGGAAGAAGTGCTAGTTGACTGTATTTTTCATCTATATTAAACTACTTTTACAATGTAAGTATGTGTATTAGTCTGCTTTCATACTGCTATAAAGAACTGCTGGAGTGTGGGTAATTTATAAAGGAAGGAGGTTTAATTGACTCACAGTTCAGCATGGCTGGGGAGGCCTCAGGAAACTTATAATCATGGCAGAAGGCGAAGGGGAAGCAAGGTACCTTCTTCACAAGGCGTCAGGAAGGAGAAGTGCCCAGCAAATGGAGAAGAGTCCCTTATAAAACCATCAGATCTCGTGAGAGTTCACTATGATGAGAACAGCATGGGGGAAACTACCCCCATGATTCAATTATCTCCACCTGGTCTCTCCCTTGACTCATGGGGATTATGGGGATTATGAGAATTACAGTTCAAGATGAGATTTGGGTGGAGATACAAAGCCTAACCATATCAATATGCAAGTAAGTCAAAATTTCCCATATTTTAGGAAAACTAGTTTTTGCGAAAGTATTATGTTATTTCCAAACCATTCCAAGCAATAGGACTTGGCCATATTTGTTTTTCTTGCCAGAGATTGAGCACAGGAATGCCAGCCATCATCACTTGGCTAGACCATGGGTTCCCAAACTTACTCCATTCACAGCATCTTTAATGTCTTAGCTCTTTTTCAAAGTGCATCTAGCTAAAGCAAAACAAAACAAAAACAAAAACACCCTAAACCTAATAGTTCCATTTATTAATTGAGTTTAGGTCCAAGCCTGCTTATTAAGTTGATTTATGTCCAAGAAAAGTCGTGGTAATAATAGCTCATGTGGTATTTGACAAATGTCACTATGTTTTCCTCTAAAATGTAGTCCATCCTGCAGTGCCCATATGAATCACCGCAGCACCAGGGCGCCCTCAGCGCACAGTTTGGGAACTGCAGGGCTGGACTAAAAACAAAGCCTGAATCAAATTGTGTCTATTGTGTCACTTCTCTGCCCAAACTCCTTTCATATAATTTCTGTGTGGTTGATATTATTTTTTAAAAATGTATATCAATGTAAATATTGAATATTATTTCTATACTCTAGCCTACTGAGTTTATCCCCAGGGATGGAAATATGGAAAAAAAAAAAAATATATATATATCTCATCCCATCCCTCTCCAAATGGAGGAAAGTGATAGTAGTAGGTACAGTGTCGCAACTGAAAAATAAAATTTTTCTGGATCAGCCATTCTAACAGCATTTTACACCCTATGGACAAAATTATTTTATTAGTAAGTTTTCTGTAAAGTTTGGGAGCTTGAGCCCCCAAACCAGTGTTTTCTGGTTCCCTTATCCTAATTCCTAATTGCAATGGAGGAAATGTACTTCTTATTTTACAAAAGTAGTGATATGGACCTGTATCATTAAGCTCACTAGCGCCAAGCTGCAGTGGTGTTCTGACTCACCATGGCCATGGAGTGTATTATGAGGTGAGGTTCATCGCATACAGAGGTAATAACGTTCTAGTCTCTCTTCACTTACTCAAAGGTCATGACAATGCCTCAGGCAGTGAGGGAAGAATTCTAGTGCAGCCCAGGTTCCTTGGGAAACTCTTGCATTCTAAGGCAGCAGAGCCCTGACTTGGCCAACCACAGATGTGTGCAAAAGACAGGTCTGATGCATGACTCATAGACCCCCCTGAAGGGTTCCTAGAAATACATTAGGAAATATCTGTAAAGCGATAGCCTTCTTTAAGAAAAGAAAGTGGAAGCTCTGAGGCACTGAGAATTTTCTCATGGTTTGGTGAAGATTGAGATGCTGAGGTGCATGTTTGTCCTTTGCCTCTTGGTGCAGGAGCCACTGACTACTTCTCTCCCCTGAACACGTGCTGTCCTCATCCCTTGCAGTGCTGGTGCAGAAGCGTTCTCTTTCACTAGTGATTATAAGACTTTGGAAGCATGGAAAAGTTGACTGGGTGGGCACTTGTGTGAAGATGCCTTTTGTCAAATTCAAAAAGCACTCTCAGGCTATGCATAACTCATTCAAATAATGGTACAAGCTCCCCACCCAAGCGGAAGCTGGGAAAGCCTCAGTCTCCCTTTATTCTAGCAAGTTAATTCTGGTCAACTCAAGTCAAATGATTATCCCCCAAATCATGTTTATTATGACCCCTATGAGGCCCTGAAGAGCTTCATGTAAATTAGAATCTTGACTTTCCACACTATTCGTGAACCTCCCTTAATTTAATTGTACTCTCTCCCTTTCCCCCAAGGTTAAAAAAAAAAAAATTAATCCAAACTTCCCTACAGTCGCATTTTCTTTGTGAAATCTTTTGATATAAAAAAATTATCAATTCCAGTGACTTTAATCACTTAATGAACCCTCTTATCTTTTTGCTGTTCCACCTTCTGAATTACTTATGGAGCAAGCCAATTGAAAGTGCCCATTGATGGAACTTTTGAATGGAAACAGATGCAGGCTTAATTTTGCATGCCAACACGAAAGGCAGCATCCACAGTTTTTGGGATTCAATTTGAAAATTTAGGTTAATTAATTTTAGCCTAAATAACTCTGATAACGTTATTCATTAAGGGGTTTATTGTAGAGATATGTATGCCGTTCCTTATGAAAGTTCCTTGAAATTTTCTCTATTAACTATTTTAGTTTTTAGAGTAAACTTTTATAACTTTACACTAGCTGAAAGTGGAAGAGAAATATAACAGATTAGAGCCAAAGTACTTATCCAGAACCGACATTTGAGAATCTTTATAAGGCTATGTGTGACTCCCATGGGAGTTATTTTTTCATAGTTTTGTATAAAATTACAAAGAAATATGGTTCAAAAGTGAAGGTACCTCCAAAATCTGGAGAGCCATGCCTGAATTTATGATGTTGGAATTGCTTTTGTAACATTTATTTATAAATTATATGTTATTTTAAATAAATGATTTAATGATATTTGCTACTTAGAAAAATCTTGCGGCAGATCCTTCTAAAATATGAAGGATTCTTGGGTGAAGTCATCAGATACTCCCATGTATATGTGCTGTGTGGTTGTATTTTTGTAAAATAGATTTTCTCAAAGCAGGAGACTCTTAGACCTAAATGTTTCCTCATGCCAAATTGTTCTCTATCTTGGGAGAAGTGGGCCAGGCGCAGGGGGTGCACTCTGCTCCTCTGAAATGGTCACCTCTGTTTGTGAGTGTGTGTATGTATGAGTGTGTGTATGCATGTATGTGTGTGAGTGAATCGAATGTGTGAGTGTGTATGTGTGTGTAAATGTGCATATGTGTGAATGTGTGTATGCATGTATGTGTGTGGGAGTGTGTGGATGTGTGAGTCTGTGTATATGTGAATGTGTATGTGAACGTGTATATATGTGTGAGCATGCAAATGTGTGTGTATGTGTGAGTCGGGGTATGTTTGTGTATGTACGTGTGACTGTGAATGTGTATATGTGTGTATGTGTGTGAACGTGTATGTGTGTGTGTCTGTGTATGTGTGTGTGTATGTGTTAGTGTGTGAATGTGCATTGTGAGCGTGCAAATGTGTGTGCCAGGGTGTGTATGTGTGAGTGTATGCGTATATATGTGTGATTGTCAATGTGTGCATATGTGTGACTGTATGCATCTCTGTGTGAGTGTGTGTATGTGTGAATTTGTGTGTATGTGTGAGTCTGTGTGTGTCTGTGGGAGAGTGTGTGTGTGTGTGTGTGAATGGGCAGGAGTAGGCAGGAGAAAGAAAAACATTCGTAAACTGATTAGAGGTGGACCCTCAGTAATAGCACAGATATGATCTCACTGACCGTCAAAGCCCCTTGGACTTCCTTCTTTTGGACTTCAGACCTCAGAGTTTACACTCTTAAATGGCATATTTTTTCACTTCTGGTTTAGTGTTCGTAGGTATGCTACATTCTTTTTCTTCATTGTTCTCATTCTCTTTCTCTCTTTTCTCTCTCTCTCTCCCCCCCGTCTCTCTGTCTCTGTCTCTATCTCCCTCTCACTCTCCCTCCCTTTGCCTTGGATGTGTGTACATAGTCTCTCTGCATTTGACCCTCGTCGTGCATGCAGTAAAGGTTAAAAGGGTGCTTTTCTGTGTGCCTGTCTTTTCACCTGAGAAGGAGGAAAATAATAAATTTATAATTAATGTGGATGTTGTTTCTATGGATTCATCATATTTTCTATCTTGGTAAAGAAAAGGGAAGGGTGGTAGACAAATTTGAGAAAATTTAAGATTTTTATAAAATATAATTCATAAAGAGAAAAAAAGGTATTAGTATGTTTACTATGAAAATCTGAGTGACAGGTCTCTACAGAGAATCCAGAAACAAAATTGAGACCAAGGACCACAGACCAGATGCTCAAAAAGAGAGAGGTCTGGAGTAAGAGGCATCAAATGATAATTCAAGGTAAATATACATATTTTTTAGGGAAAATCTTACATCCTTCAGTCAATTAAGCATGCAAAAGAAGTATCCAGAATGGTGGTTTATGCAATTTTATTTCCCAGATAACTAGCTTTTGGAGAAAGATGCTCTCGAAGCTAAAATTACTTAATTTCCTTAAAAGTTACTAGACTTTGTTTTTAAATACTTAAATCATATGATAGTAAGACTCATTTTTTTCTATGAACAAATGTCTTCAAAATTATTCTAAAATGATTTCCGAAGTGTCTGATAGTGGTTTTATTTCAATTAAAAACAGGGCACATTTGGAAAGTCAAAAGTGCGGTAATGATATTAATGCACATCCACACACATTCTAACTACCAAATTATCTTCTTCATTGTTACTAAAAATAAAAATTGGAACATATTTTTGCCACATATATTGGTTTCAAATAGAAAACTTGAGACGACAGATCTCAGTGCTTGCTAATGGGCTTTTAAAAACCTACAATTCATGAGTACCCAGAAAAGGTAAATTTGACCTCTACAGAGAAGGATTTGCAGTTAGATAACGTTGCAATAGATGACACTGTATGTGCTATATTGTTTCAATATAATGATTACACAGGTGAAGGGTGATTTATAGCAATGCAATGGTCTAAAGACCAATTCATGTTCAATTTCATATTTTGTTTATCTTCCCATCAGCACCTTCTACCTCAATCTTTTCTATGGTCAGATACATACAATGACTCCTAGGACTGGACTGACTAAGACATGCCAGAGAATTGAAAGGATCCTGGGATTTAGGACCAGGCAAGTGAAAGGTTAGGAGAAATGATGAGTGAAGAGCAAAGCTTATAAACAACAGTGACAATAAGTGACAATGACAAATGGGCAGAGAAAGTATACGGACAAATTCTTTGAACTGTCTCCCTACTTAAATGTTCTTGATGGAATTGCCATGTACCCAATGTGCAGCTCTCTCCCTGAATTAATGCTGTTGGAATATCCTTTTTTAGATTTCCTTCTCTTCCCATCTCTCTACCACCAGATAATGATTTTCACTGCTCCCAACTGCCCCTGACTCACCTCTCAGATCATGGATTAATCCCATTACTAAGTACTCAACCCCAGATCCCATTACCCACCGAAGAACTTTTGATGTTGATCTTGAAGCTTCCTTCATGTGCACAGCTAATTTTCCTGTGCCAACCTGGCTGAAAAATCTGTACTTACAAAAATATTATGATCAGGCTAAGAGGTGAATCAGCTCTCAAGAAGACAATTAGAGGAGTATCGGGGAGACAGAAAAGGGGCAAATCAAGGCAATCAGAGAGAGAACTCTGGAGGAAGTCACAAGTACAAGCTCTTAGGAACATGGCAGAAGAATATAACTATTCATTTAACAAACATTTGTTAAAACACTTGTAATATTCCGGGCACTTTGATTATTAAGTCTGATCAGTTAATGATTGCTTATATACTTTTTGCAAGGGCAGGAATTAATTCAGGGCGTTAACGACCCAAAGCTCAAGTATGTGGACAGGTAGTATGAGCATGCCAGGTGGAAGGATAATTTCCTAGATTAAACTGGAATTGTCTAGGAGGAACGGTAGGACCGTAATTCTCCACCTCTGACCTAAAAGCATTGATAGGCCCAGGACTCTGTGCTTTTAAAACACTTTCAAAGTAATTCTGATATGCAGCTAAATTTTAGAATTACTGATTAGGCACACAATATTTATTCATACAATGGATATTTGTAAACATTTGCTACAAGTTTACATGCAAGAATAAATTAGAAAGGACTGCTACTCTCATGCAGTTTATATTTTAATAATACACGAATGTATTTAACCCAAGATGAAATTTAAACGGCATAAAATAGATACAGATAGAGTTCAGAAAAAGAAGAGCTTACTGATGAAGTTTTAGGTAAAGCTTTGTGTGGGAAGAAAGGCATTTGAGCTAGAGTTTGAAGGATAGTTTACATTAAAATTATTTTCTATATCGAGGTAATTCATGTTTACTTTTGAAAGGTTGTAAAATTAAATGACATGCATACACACAAAACAATTTCTTGATCCATAAATAACACATGTATACATTGGTGTGTATTTCTACACTCTCAATAAAATTATGAATATGGATATAAATGAATATATACATATATAGATATGTTGCTTTTTATAAAAGCAAAACCATTTGTACAGGTTGGTTCTGTAGCTTATTTTTCTCCATCAAAAATATATATCATGAATATTATTCCATGAGAATCAATATTAATCTATGGTATCATTTTTTATTGCCTGAATACTACATTATTACATATGGATGTATTATAATTTATTTAAGTATTATATAATGTTGAGAATTTGGGGTTGCTATCTTTTTTTTATTGTAAACATACTGAAAAGAGAATCTTGAAGGAAATTTGTTTCCTTGCTGATGAATGTCTAGAAATGGAATTTCTAGGCCAGTGTGTATGTTTGATGGATACATGGAAAGATGAGACATATTCCAGGGGTGGGGGTAATAAAAGCAATATCCCAAATACAGGAAAGTACAGGCCACTGATAGTAATATAGTTTCCTAAAAATAGTGTAGGCCACCTGTGGTGGCTCAGGCCTGTAATCCCAGTACTTTGGGAGGCTGAGGCAGGTGGATCACCTGAGGCCAGGAGTTCAAGACCAGCCTGTCCAACATGGTGAAACCCCATCTCTACTGAAAATACAAAAATTAGCCAGGCGTGGTGGTGGGTGCCTATAATCCCAGCTACTTGGGAGGCTGAGACAGGAGAATCGCTTGAACCCGGGAGGTGGAGGTTGCAGTGAGACAAGATTGTGCCATTGTACTCCAGACTGGGCAACAAGAGTGAAACTTCATCTAAAAAAAAAAGAAAGAAAGAAAGAAAAGAAAAAGAAATGTGGCTGAAAATTTAGGCTGGGACCAGGACTTTCAGGGTCTTCAGTGGTAGATCAAGGAACCTAGGGATAGGATATCAACTCAGTGTTCAGTGGCTTTTAGTTTAATGCTACATATGAACTCTGCAATTGTTGTTGCCTCAGAATCCCTATGGTTTGGGATAATTCTGGACTCATCGGTACTATTACTCTGATGCTTTATACTGCTGGATAGTTACATAAGTCCTTTTGACAGAGAAATAACAAAGCGACCCCATTTTCAGAAATCATCAATGCTTAGCCAAAGGGCCTCCCATAGTACAAGTTTTGTCAATGGCTGCTCCCAAGGTGAGGGTCAGGGTATTCAGGAAATCTCAGCAGAAGGTACCTTCCTCATAAGAGTCTTTCCACATGCACTGCAGATACATGAGAAAGCTATGTGATGGTGGACAGTTACTTTTTTAACAGAACAAGGGAAGGATCCATCCACTTTTTCTCCTTATGTACCATGAAAGACAGCTTCTAAAATGGCAGCTCCAAAAGCTTCTTAAGCCGTATCCAGAAGGAGATGGAAAGTCCATGGGGACAGAGAGCACTGGCTGTTTTCATTCAGGAAGAGGTTGCATTATCCTCCTTTGACTTTTCTCTCTCACTGGGAAGTCATTATTATTCTGGCATTCCTCCTGACATTTTTATGACTTTGTTTATTTTAATACATGGTTCATTATTTGTTTTGGAACAACCCTCCAAATTATTCTTCCAAATGCCACTTGAGCTCAGCCGAGGAGATGTTTCATCATCTCCTTTGTTGTCGTTTCTTGCAACTTGCCTAACTTTCATCTTGGTGGAGGCTGTAAAGCTCTGTAAGAGTCCTTGTGGCCTATGGCTTTGATTTGCCTCTCCTCTCCTTTGGCTGATTGGGCAAATCCAATAACTATTGATCAGCTCTAAAACAGCGAGATTTGTGTTAAGTCCCCTACTCTTGATGGGGAAAAATTATGACTTTTCCCTTTCAACAAAACCCACAACCTGTTAAATTCAATTAAGAAATAAGTAGCAGCAGCGGAAGCAGAAACAGGCCACTGAAAGGCATTTCTTTCTCTCTGAGTGCTTTTCTTTTCCGGCAGCAAAGGGCTTCTGTGCAGTTAGAGTCCCGTGTTTGATTGACTCGGCTCCCAAGCTGATGTTTACACGGCTGTATTCCTCTTGCTCCGATGACTGTGACATGCCACCCGGATGCGGTGAGGCTGACAGGGAATGTGAGGGGGACCAGACAGATGACAACGTCTCCGTTCTTCAGAGCCCAGGCAGGATGATCTGTCACCTGATGATAGGCCACAGCCTGTCATTTATTTACTTACAGCTTTAATGTGGGTAAAATGAGCAGGAGATGGGGGGAAATGTGACAAGAGGCAAAGAGAAAGTGAGTGGTTACAGGAAAGAAAAATCTGACCCTTTTCGGCATCAAAATATCAACAACAGCTATTTCCTACATCTCAATGGGCATCCTGGCCTAGAAGCCAATTATGAGCAACATTCTGAGCAAGAAATCAGATTTGCAAAGCAGGAACTTGAGCCATTAGTCTGTGGCAGTGCGGTAGACAAACCCCGCTGCCACTTGATTATATTAAATGCTTGGAATTTTGTCTTGAGCATTTAATTTCTGCAATTTTCAGTGACCATTTGGCAAGCATTTTTTTCCCCTTTTAGTTTTTTAATCTGTACACATTTTGCAAGGTAACATTCCAGTGCAATTGGAATTATCATCCAAGGGTCCCATTTGCTATAAAAGTACTGCTAGGCCGGGCCCGGTGGCTCACGCCTGTAATCCCAGCACTTTGGGAGGCTGAGGCAGGCAGATCACTTGAGGTCAGGAGTTCGAAACCAGGCTGGCCAACATGATGAAACCCTGTCTGTACTATAAATATAAAAAAAAAGTAACTGGATGTGGTGGCAGGTGCCTGTAATCCCAGCTACTTGGGGGGCTGAGGCAGGAGAATCGCTTGAACCCGGGAGGCAGAGGTGGCAGTGAGCCGAGATCACACTATTGCACTCCAGCCTGGGCGACAAGAGCGAAACTCCGCCTCAAAAAAAAAGTGCAGCTAGAAATCACTTTGAAAACCATTGACCTGCTTGTTCTGTGTGCTGACACCCTGGTTATGGGAAAGAAATATCTTAAAACCAGGAGAAATGACAAAAGATATTTTAACTGTTAAGGTAAACCTGTAGGAACAAAACAGACTGAGACGATTCATATTTTAAGGGGATTTTGTAAATTAAAAAAATGGATCTTTGCCAGTATCTAAATGAATTAAATATTTTTCAATTAAGCCAATTTAATGAACAAAGTATATTAAGTACTGTATACACTAGCACAGATTTGAACCACTATGATGAAGTTTTAAAAGGGATCTACAGTTTGGGAGTTCTTTTAAAAAAATTTTTATGATACTAGATCTCATTTTCTCACACAGCATTTGGGGGAGAGGCCCCAGGAACTTCCCACACACTGACGATTGTGCACGGAAGACGTGATGTGTACAGAGACGGTGTATCTGAGGGCACACCTTTATATGCCCAAAGACCATAAAGCATTCACAAATCATTAACAGTGGGGCTGATGAGGCCCAGGTGTTGGGTCCAGCATTATGTCAAGAAAATCCATCATGCAAAAATACCAAAGATCGGACACATTTCCTAAGAAACATTGTCCTGGGGAAATTGTAACTGTAACTCCTAGTAGCCTGAATCCGGCAATGCTGAGACTGACTGTTATCAAGGAGGCTCTCTGGTTCTTAGCGTGTCATTTCCAAATGGCTCTTTCGGCACATCTAGCTTGGCAGCGTACTTTCAACATATGAAAGTACGGTAACCATCCCCCCAGTAGGCTATCAGATTTGTAGCCCCCAAGCATCCACTCAACAGGCGGCCTGGGGTACAATGGGTCTCACTTTTGCCCAATAAAGGCAAAATGTCTGAGAGTCACAGTAAATGTGACTCCCCCAGAATATTGTGAAGAACATGGCATTTTAATCATGTGTGATTGCTTTGGGAGGAGAAATAGCTTTGGTTGGTACTGAGAAGGTTGTTAGAGCAGATCAGACACTTCACCCTGTGGCTCCATTAGCCCTGTCTTCCCTGAATGTCTCCCCGCTCTTAGATATCCACGTGCATTGCTGCTTCAGGCTGCCAGCTGTGTTAAAAAAAGATCTGGCACATCTTCATATGGGGTTCCCTTACTGAAGGTAGAAATACAAGCTACACTTGTCCAGCCACTTCTCCTGTAGTTCTGTTGCCAAGGAAAGGGAGCTTTATCACCAAACCTGGGGACAAAAGGGCCCTGTGAAATACAGGACTCCCAACCAGCAACTTGCTATGTCCATTTCTGGAGCTGATAGTATCCTCAATTCCTGGTGAGTATAATTTGGCATATTCTTGTGAATGAACCACATGGTAAAATAAAGCCATGTGTACTCTGAGAACTGTTTGATATATGTATATTTGAGACAGGGTCTTGCTCTGTCGCCCAGGCTGCAATGCAGTGGCACCATCACGGCTCACTGTAGCCTCAACCTCCCAGGATCAAGTCATCCTCCTACCTCACCCTCTGGGGGAGGTGGGACAACAGCCATGTACCACCACACCCAGCTAATATTTTTAATTTTTTGTAGAGAAGTAGTCTCACCATGTTGCCCAGGGCTCAAGTGATCCTCCTGCCTCGACCTTCCGAAGTGCTGGGACTATAGGCATGAGCCACGTGCCCAGCCTGATATTTTTAATCCACTTTTAGAAGTTTCATTTTGTATTGGCTGAGTTCTACTTCTTTCGCTAAGAATTTCAAGAAGGAAGAGAATTTTGTCCCCTTCCATGTATTTGGCAGTGTATCTCTGATGCTTAAAAGAGCCAGATTACCTGTCCTCATTTTCCTGCCTTGGCAGGGGACCATGATGAGTCCTATAACCTTGCTCACAACTGTGCTGGATACTGTTTGCGTTGGATTTATGCGGACACAGGTGGTGCCCTCGGGGTCCAGGCATTCATGGGGAACACCTGTTTCTATTCTTTTGCCTTCATTATTGTTGGGGAAGACATACGTGGGGTGGGGCCTTAGGGTATAGTCACAGGATCAGTGAGGTAAAGAGTGTTAAACATTATAATTTCATTACAGTTAAGCTGTATGCTTCTCCCCAACAGCCCCTCATGGTTATTTAGCCTTTTAATCTGTCTGGTTAAGATGTCCTTAATACTGGTGACATAGGAGGAATTAGGAAGAAAAGGGAAAAAGAGCAGGGTATTCCCGGAGCTGACCCTGCCTAAGAAATATCCACCTCCCACTGCCCTATATACAAATAAATGCTTTTTTTAAAAAAAATTATACTTTAAGTTCTGGGCTACATGTGCAGAACGTGCAGGTTTGTTACATAGGTATACACGTGCCATGGTGGTTTGCTGCACCCATCAACCCCTCATCTACATTAGGTGTTTCTCCTAATGTTCTCCCTCCCCTTGCCCTCCACCCCCTGACAGGCCCCGGTGTGTGTTGTTCCCCTCCCTGTGTCCATGTGTTCTCATTGTTCAACTCCTACTTATGAGTGAGAACATGCGGTGTTTGGTTTTCTGTTCCTGTGTTAGTTTGCTGAGAATGATGGTTTCCAGCTTCATTCATGTCCCTGCAAAGAACATGAACTCACTTTTTTAGGAAGAAAAGGGAAGAAGAGCAGGGTATTCCCGGAACTGACCCTGCCTAAGAAATGTCCACCTCCTACTGCCCTATATGCAAATAAATGTTTTATAATTTGCCAAATATTTCAGTCTGTATGATCACATACTGTAGCAGATCCTATAGTAATTTTACTAAGGTAAGATATATGTAAAAATCATTTATTCTTTGTCCTTCCATCAAATATTAATTGAGGGTCTTCTGTGCAGAGTCCCAGTACCCTTTGACCATGGTGGTGATCTCAAGCCCCTTAATATGTAAACAGTTTAAAAAATATGCCCACCGTCTCTTTTTTAATAAGCTGAAGCAGCTCTTTCCCATTTCCTATCTTTTATATTATTTTTGTAGCAAAGGTGAAAAGTAAAAGTAATTATCATCCCGGGGACCTTTTCTGTTGAGACCATAAGATGTGCTCAAATCTAAAATGTGCAATTTTTATCACCAACATTTTCATTCTTGACTCAGATGAGCTTCTAGCTCCATCCAGCATGTCTATTCATGAAAAGCTCTGAACACAAAATTATATCAAACATAATAATAGATAAGCAGCTAGAGTGAATCATATATTTACAACTGAATACTGCTTCCCTATAATACCTGTGAGCTGAGGGGATATTTAAGATATTTATCCTATTTAGCAGCTGAGCCCTGATCAATTGGAGTGGAAATTGCCTATAAACAACTGGTACAGTACTGTCCAAAGAGCCTCACCCATTCAGGGGAGCATCCGAGGATGGGCATGGAGGAGAAGCCACCTCCCTGGTGACTTGAGAACATAACTGATGAAGGCTCGTTACCTTTTCTATATGTTTCCTAGGGCTGGAACAAACAGCTACAATCTAGGTGGCTTAAGACAACAGACATTTGTTCTCTCACAGTTCTAGAGGCCAGAAGTCTGAAATCAAGGTGGTAGCAGAGCCACATGTGTTCTGAGGTTTCTAGGAGAGAATCTTTTGCCTCTTCCAGCTTCTGGTGGCTCTTGGTGTTCCCTGACTTATGGCAACATCATTCCCATCCCTGCCTCCACCTTCACACGGCCTTCTTTTGTATGTCTCTGTGTCCTATCCTCTTATAAGGACACCAGTCACTGGTTTTAGGGAAATCATCCCCCTAAATCCAATAATGATTTCATCTCGAGATCTCTAAGTAATTACATCTATAAAGATACTATTTCCTAATAAAGTCACATTCTGGGGTTCTGGGTAGCTATGATTCGGGGAGCACACTAATCAACCAAGTACACCCTCATTTGCTTTCAGTATTTCTTGGCGTCATATAAATAGCAAGAGGATTCTCAAATCAGAGAAGCAAATCTTTTAGGTAATTTTTCCCCGAAGCAACATGGTGGAGAAATGTTCATTTTTTAATTTTTGTATTAATTCATCTATCTATTTATTTCTGCAATTAATAAGAAGTGCATAATTTTGAGACCCTTTCCAGTGGGTCTTAGAATTTAAAATTATAATTATCTGATAATTATTTGGAAACGTCTTCATATTTATCTTTCTCATTTGAACCTCTCGGTGGTCTGGTGAAGGAGGTGGAGCAGGTAGCATTAACACTGGCCTTAGAGAGCATGACTCCAAGGCTCAGTGAGGCTGAATTTTCCCAATATTCCTCAGTTAGGTGATTTATGGAACTGGCAAGGACTCTAATATCTAGATTGGATTTCTTCCCATTAGTTCAAGAAACAGCCTGATTTTCACTTTTGTTGTTGTTGTTGTTACGGTACCCAAGGAGACGTGTGCCTCTGTTTCTATTTTCATATTCAGGTTTTCATTCTATTTTGAATTTCAGGGATATGTTAGCTTAGCTATTCTGGTTTTGGGGTCAGTCTGAGCTGTGTTCTAGTTCAGGTTTTGCCACTGTCCAGCTTTGTAACATTGGGTGAGTTATGCTACCTTTTTGGATTCTTACCAGCTTTCTTATCTAAGTGAAGAGAATAATAATTATCTTGTGAGGAGATAATGAAGAAAAATATCTTAATATATTTAAAGCATTAGCACTGTGCCTCAAAAAACAGCAACTGCTTTTTATGGTGTATGTTTTATTATTAAGCAGAAGAAACAGTGGAAGTCTTGAAGAATGGGTGTGTTTTGGGTCTGCAGAACTAGCAAGGTGGTCTTGCACAAATATCAGACATTCTGGGTCTCAGTTTCATCATCTACAAAATGATGGGAGGTCTTTAAGTCCATTCAGTTCCTTGATTTATGGGCAAAAGACTGAGAAAGAATTGCAAACAAAGAAGTCTCCAATTTACCTAGTTAAATGCTGATCAATTTAAACTTCACGTGAGAAACATTTATAAAAACTTCTGATACAAAATAGGGAGCAGAGAATCTCTGCAAGAGGCCTAAACAATTATTGGTGTTGTTTCAGTGTGTCAGATAAAGAAAGTGAGAAATGAAGCATTTCTTGTATATTTAAGGCTGAGTAAAGGTTATCATTCAAGGAAAGATTACCTTTTCTTTCCATTCATCCAAAAGATAATTGCACAATATTCACATTCCTCAAAGCACTCTGAAGATGACATGGGAATTGAAACTTCTAGTGTATCCAAAGGAATTTAGAAGCACAGAATAATGTCAGGCTCAGATCAAATAAAAATAACTTTTATGTCTCCATTTATTAAAAATGCATGTTTTGTTTTCAAATGTTTTCTTCCACAGCAGTTACACACTGGCAAGACCCAGTTTGAAGCTTTTTAACTAGTGCTTTTTGACAACTCCAAAGCTCTTTCCCTCCTGTCCAAATGCTGCTCCTTCATTAAGTCCCCCAAGGAAGCAAACCAGCCAACGGCAAATAGAGACAATACACCCTCCTTGTTCCAATGAACTTGTTCCGTTCATTTGTCAGAAAATGGAGAGATGCTTGTGAGAAAGCTGACTTGGAAACAAAGCCCACACGGGGCAGTCCTGTTTGGCACCACAATCTTTTATGTAGATGGTGGATGAGGATCTTATATGCCATTTACACAAAAATTAATACTTAAAACAACATGTACAGAAAGTGGTTCCAAGTCCCAGTCCCATTGCAATCTCTTCGTGTTCTCTTCTGTGTCTCTCAGTATTCTGTGCTATTTTCTAGGCTTCTTTCTTCTTTCAGCGCACTTTGTCTTCCTGTGTGCCCCTTCCTCCTCCTCCTTTAAAAATTTAAACCAGAATGATTGCAATTCTTTCCTGGAATTTGTTCTTTCCATCAAAATTAGAATACAGTATTATCCCTTTACTCTAAAAACATTCTTGTTTTTTTATCCAACCCAGAATATGTGGAAGCAAAAGATTAACATACTCTAATAGCTTTTTATAACATAAAAATTTATATTGGCCGGGCGCGGTGGCACACTCCTGTAATCCCAGCACTTTGGGAGGCCGAGGCGGGTGGATCACGAGGTCAGGAGATCGAGACCGTCCTGGCTAACACGGTGAAACCCCGTCTCTACTAAAAATACAAAAAATTAGCCGGGCGCGGTGGCGGGCGCCTGTGGTCCCGGCTACTCGGGAGGCTGAGGCAGGAGAATGGCGTGAACCCGGGAGGTGGAGAGTGCAGTGAGCCCAGTTAGCGCCACTGCAGTCCGGCCTGGGCGAAAAAGCGAGACTCCGTCTCAAAAAAAAAATTTATATTGTCCCGAGAGCTACATTTTGTGAAACAAACATCTGCTGATCGTAGTCCATGTACCAGCTCTGTGGTAGTGATTGGACAATGAATAGAATGGTCCCTACCTGCAGCTAGATGACAGTCTATGTGGTTAACATAAGCTATCTCTGTGGTGTCTTTGACACCGTACCCTTTTGAGAGGGGAATGCTTAAGTTCCGGCTCAGACTTTTATCCCAAGATTGATAAAACACAGTATGATAAAAATGTTCTTCCCTTTTTCTCATTCATGAAATGAGTCAATGCGACTAGGCTGAAAGATTGTTTTCTGCTTGACTATTTCATATAAACTGAGTGGTAAAGAGTTCTTTGGCCTTCTCACAGTCTGGTTTGATTTTTCTGTGGTGGTGACATTCAGTGTCTCTTTGAGGAGCTGGGAAGGCAGGAGGCAGAAAAGGGGCCTAAA
Source organism: Homo sapiens (assembly GCF_000001405.40). NCBI lineage: Eukaryota > Metazoa > Chordata > Mammalia > Primates > Hominidae > Homo > Homo sapiens. The sequence continues at coordinate 19,457,894 of NC_000006.12, read as the reverse complement.
GAAGGGGAATACAAACTTGAGCGCAACCCTCAACTTTCTTAGATTTTTCTAGTCTTGAGAGTAGAAGGAATGAATCAAGTCTGCATATATGCCCAAATCTCTCCAAGCAGACTCTTTGTAAGCTTTGACTTTATGTGCTCAAGTAAGAAAATCTCTTCTGTCTTCATTATGATTAGATTCGATAGCGATATGGTGGGTGAAATGTTGCTCTCTAAATCTGAATCATGTGCCGTGGGGCAGAGCCCAGGGTTTGACCTGGGGAAGATGCTCTTTTTGAAACTTCTCCACCATTAATTTATGCATTCACAAAGTGGAAATGACGTCTTAAAGATGGGGGTCCTCTTTCTATGTTATGCTTCTTCATTTTCAGGCAGTGAGTAAAGAAGCGTAAATACAGAGATGGCTTTTGGGTTGCTATATTCCCACCTGACATACGCTGTCTCTGCAGGGCTCCAGAACTGGAACATTATACAGAGTCTTCAAAAACCCTTAATTCACTTTTGAGCTTTAATTATTTCAGAAGTATGAATGTACTGTCTTGTTCAAGTGTCTCTTAAAATAGTAATTATTTATATTTTTAATATGTATGCAATTTTGGGAATCTTAACTGATTTTTTTATTTTATTTTTCTAGTCAGTGTGTACCATTTTCAGTAAGAGAAACTGGAAAAAGTTAAAAACAGATTTTGAAAAATTCACAAAACTGCATGAGCCTAGAGGAAAGGTAACCAGAAATATGACAAATGGTCTTCGGAAGTTTGTAGCATTTGTTTCTGCCTAAGTTATGAAAGCTCAAAACTCCACTAAGACTTCTGGGATAACCTGTAATAGGTGACAGCTTATTTTGAAATTCAAATACTTTCAAATATTTTAAAAAATAGATTGAAATGCAAAAAGACAAGAACATGCATTTAACATAACTTTTGAGTTAAAAACTCAATAAAATTAATGTCAGAAGACATTGGATGTCTATGGATGCTGATAAAAACTATGGATACTCACAAAAATTAGTCAACCTCTTAAAAGAAGTTTGTTTTTAACAATAGATTTTCGATTTAGAGAGACATCACAGAATTTTGCCAATTCTGGAGGCCAGCTAGAGCTTCTCTTAGAGATTGGGGCAGAAGAAGTCAGCAGTGAAGTATCAATTCATGACCCTGGCTTAGGAAGCCAGACTCCTAAGCTCTTTTGATGTAGCTTCTATTTAGAATACAGTCAAGCCTGGGTCACTGCTGGGATTTTAATTTTAGACACAAGGGATGTAAAATATTGGGCAATATGAGCAAACTTTGCACTTCTCTCTAGAAATGAAGGAGTTACATTCTCCTGTCCTGTCTGACGTTTGGTTACAGAGTGCAGTGAACTGCTCAAGAGTAAGGCATTTGGTTAAGAGGCGGCACTGCGTATCTATAGAACAGATTAAAGTGTATGCTGATTCTGTTTGCTTTGAGAGCAAATATTTTCCCTGAATTTTAGTCTCTTTGGTTGGATGTACGGAATGGGCACGTGCAATGGGCACCATGCCTTGCTCCATCAGCAGCCCTGCCCTCTAAGGCAAGCTGGCAGTGTGAGGAGCCACAGTCACCCATCAGCTGTCTGTGTGTCCTCCATTACACACTACATGTATAAATTATAGCTCATGTCCTCCTTCGTGCCTCACTTAGAGGGTTTATAGTGGCAATTACCTGTTCACAGACCTACTGCATGTTTGCTGCTACCATGCCCAGTTCTGAATCTGGCTTCAATCAGATATTTGATATGTCTTTACCAACACAATAGACATTAAGCTGATACAACGAAGTACAATAATTATGTGATGTGGGATGCCCTTGGTTTGCTGGTAAATTTTATTTGGGGTTATGCAGTATAATCCAGGCTTGCTGTTGGATTTCACTGGCATCGACACAACTGAGGAAGAAATCCAAACCTGGACATGCCACTTATGCAATTAAATATGCTGCCCCTTGTATATACTTTACCTCCCATATTTTACAGTGAGACAATAGTTTCTTCAATGATCAAGTGATACAGCATGTAGTAATTACTTGAAGTGATAGTAGCTCTGATTTTTGGCTCCATGTAGTGATGCCCTTTCTAAAAATTCAAGTCATTCAAAATTGGAATAAGCTGCCTAGTGGGTGGTGAATGCCCCATCACTGGAAGTGTTCAAGTGCAGCCATCTGTCAGGAATGCACTGGACAGAACCACTATGTTGGGTAGGATATGATGCCCTCTAATACTCTTTGCAATATGAAGTTCTTTGGTTGTTTCAAGTCTTCATTTTGTAATACTGTAATGATTCAGATTAGGGATACTCACTCTTCACTTCCAACTGGCCTTACTATAGAAAGCACTCTCACTTCCCACAATTAAAAAATGTACATTTGCCCAAATAACGGCATCCTCAACGTCGTTTTGCCCTTTTCCTATTATAGGTATAGCGACTGAGAAATATGTGATGACTAGATCTAGGGGAGGAGTGGGATGCCACACTGCCCAGCTCTGCTGCTTACTAGCTATGCGACAGGGGCAAGGTTCATAAACCTGAACCCTGAGGTTGGTCATCTGCTAAATTCAAAGCACAACAAGTACCTCCCCAACAGAGCGCTGAAGGACTAAATAAAAATTTAAAGTATTTAGCACAAGGCATAGTACTTCTAGGAATATGAGCATTCACTATTTGTTGTGGTGGTTTTTATTGTTTACCTGGGTTATCTGTTCTCAATCAGCAAATCTGTCACTTGTGTACCATGAACAGATGATGGATTAGATTTAGAGAACTGTGTTAACTATTGGCATTTTTAAAGGACAAATAAACATGATCATTTTTTGCTATTTATGTATTTTCACTCATCTGTACATTAATTTCTATAACTCTATTAATGATGTTATTTTTAAGGACAGCTTTAAAGTTTGAACAAATACTTCTTATGTGTATAGTCAACTTAAAACAATTTTAAATAGCCTATAATTGTGTAGTACCTCTCTTAAATTCCAACCTCAGGTTTAAAAGCCTGTGTTACTTATCATCTATTGCTATTAACATTGTGGAAGCTTATTGTATTTATGTGACAGACAATATTTGGACTTAAAATTTTTCAGATTTTTGTTGTGTTTACTGAGCTCTGATTCATATAAAAGTGGTAGCTCCAGTTTAATGTAGGAATTCTGCTTGCATGTGCGGCTTTCCTTCCCATTGAAAGAGAAATGATCCCAGTGAGTGAAAAGCAAAGATAAGCTGAGAATAGAGTTGCAATCTTAGTTTGTGCAGGTGCTGTTTTGTTAACATCCTGGTGCATGTGCATTGTATTTTTGCACACACAGTCACAGTCAATTTTTTTTTTTTAGAACATGCATTACAATGTTCAGCTCATTACAAGTCATAACAAAGCTCCGTTGGAACCAAAGAGAAGACTCATGCTCTGTATATACCGAGAAGCTGTTCCCATTGTAACTCAAAGAATTCTAGTTCAGAAAATATCAACTGGCAATTTGCTTTGTGGGTTGTTTACAGACCAGCTACTTTTTGCCTTCCATTTTTTATGTGCTGTATTGAGACAGTCTCATACTTTGAGGTTAGTCTTCTCAAACAGGCTTTAAGATGATAAAAATCACACCAGGTCCAACTGGATCTTTATGTCATAAGACCATTTTCCCTTTTCCTCTCTACTTCTTTTCCTCCATTCAGAGCTAAAACAAACCACTTCATAAGAACCTCATGAAATTTTCCCTGTGTGCACTTTAGTTAAAAGACCCTCCTGTGCAGTGCATTCAACTCTGTGGGGACACTGTGCCACAGTCAGCTTGCTGGGAGATCAAAGTGGAGAATCTTCAGCTTGCAGAATGCCTGATGTGTCTCTGTAATGCATCTAGCAGGCTTTCTGAGTGCACTCTGTTGCAGAAGGCTAAAGGGAAAGGGCATTTTATCATAACACAGAAGACATTCAAATTTTGAG